>NC_000006.12:104616244-104767759 GCF_000001405.40 Homo sapiens
ATGTTTGTTGCTTTAAGCTGCTAAGTTTTGGAGTAACATGTTACAGTGCAACAGACAACTAATATATACTTGAAAGTATTTTCAAGTTGTGGTTTCGTCCTGCTGATAGGGTAAAATTCTGTCTCTCCCATGCTTCCTTGAGGATCTACTGAAGGTTGGGACCAAGGTGGGACTGGAAACAAAGGTGGTGAGTTAAAGAATAATAACAATAGTTGGTCATTAAATTCTATTTCATTCCTAATACAATCCCATAACAATATCACATGGTAAAACCCTAGCAAAGTGACTATTGTCTATAATTTTAATTATTTGCTTAACCAGTCAGATCTTGATGATTTTCTTTTCTGGGGTTAGTTTGGGCATCACTAAGCTCAAGCAACCAAGGGATACCACACCCTCTCCACCTAAAGAAAAGAACCAAATCCCCATCCTCCCACTGCCTGAGAGTATTACAGCCAATCTCTCCAGCAGCAGCTCTTTCTTGGTGGCCCCTGAAGTTCCCAACTTGACTTTACCACTCATAGAAGCAAATAAAATATGATAAGCTCCCAACCAATATCAGGGAAGAGAATTAAATCAATTACTATCATTAAGCGTTTGGAATTCAAACTGAATTACTTTTGGATTAAACATCATCATGTCTCTAATATAAATTTAACTTCAGGTGAACCAAAAAGGAGCTATTCTTATAAGCATGTAAATGAATAACATGCTTGCTGTGGTTTGAATGCCCCCTCTAAAACCCACCTTGAAACTTAATCCCCAGTGTGGCAGTATTGACAGGTTGAGAGGTGGGCCTTTAAGAGGTGAATAGAGCACTCAAGAATGGATTAGTCCATTCATGGATTAATGCATTAATGGATTAGTGGGTTATCATGGGAGTGGGACTCATGGCTTTATAAGAAGAGGAAGAGAGACATGAAGAGCACACTCAGCCTCCTCTCCGAGTGATGCCCTGTACTGGCTCAGGACTCTGCAGAGAGTCCCCACCAGCAAGAAGGCCCTCACCACAAGTACCCACCTCAATCTTGGACTTAGCCACCATATCTGCAAGAAATATGTTCCTTCTCTGTATAAATTACCCTGTTTCAGGTATTCTGTTACAAGCAACAGAAAATGGACTAAGACAACCCTCCTTGCTTATTGTTGAAAAGCTAAGGAATTTCTCCAGAACCTGTACAAGGTTGCTCCTATCATCCCAAAATAAATACAATACTAATCAAAAGAGACAGCCCCTATATAGCACCTGTCACTGGCTATCAGCAACAAGGCATTACACAGTAGGTCTTCTTAACCACAGCAACACCAGTGATATCGGCCTTTGTAAATTCAAACAGGCAGTTCTGTACTATGGAGAACTTCCAAATATAAAGACAAAAAAATACATTTGAAAGACCTTGGAAAGCATTCCTCCCTTGCCCCGTGGCCTCACTGTGAGGGGAACAAGTCCAACAGAGCCAATCCAAAGGAGAGAAGCCTTGGAGAACTCCCCTGCTTCCAGCTCTTTGTTTAAATCTTTCCACAACACTGGCCTACATAAAAATCAATATATAAGCCAACCTTTCATAATCAACAGTTCTTGTAAATAGGCTTCCATTCCGGGAACAGCTATAGATTTAAGGCCAAACTCTCTGCTGTGAAATCACTGAATGCCAAGTAAGAATACCTAAATTAGAACTTGGCTCTAACAACACCGATCATCCTTGCCATCGTTTAAAATTTACCTTCACAAATGAAACTTTGTGGGAAGCAATGGAAAAACATGCTTTTCCTGTAAACCTCCCTTGATATATTTCATCTTCAAAAGAAGAAATCGAATTTCAATTTTAAAGTTTCCTTTGCCAGATTCAATAAAAGTTCAGGCATCTACTTTTTAAGCTATGCCCATTAGATTTGCACTGATAACCCTCACTTTTACCTTGCTGAGAATCCTTTTCAGCATTTACATTTTAAATCTCTCTTATTGAAAATCACAATGTTTCTCCTAGGGTTAAAGTTCGGGAAGTTCTTTAAATACATCTATGTGTATATATATAATATATATATATTTAAATTTCACTTTAATATCGACATTGCTATATAGCATTTGCTTTGTAGTTAAAAGGTGAGAGCAAAGCCTCAAATTTTACCAGAATCCCCAAAGACTAAACCTCCAACTCCCTCATATATCGAGTCCATTAGGAGATTTTTAAAGTTAGGAATTCATTTTTCTTTTTTTTTTTTAATGCTGCACATAGTTGCTTTATGTTCTACTGAGCCTAGTGCTCAGGTATTTATGAAAACAGAACATTTGAAAAGTCAGTGATCTCAAGGTATCATGCCTGTACCAAGCACAAGGGAGCACCAAAGGGCAAAGTGAGGCAGAGACGATGATCTTTTTATATGTATTAATGCTACTAAGCAACCAAATACAATTTTTAAAAAGATGGCTTCCTGGGTTCATATAACGACTTTTTATGAAGAAAATGAAACTAAAATAATACATTATGTCCTCCCACACCTTTGGTTTTTTGGAAGGTTTTTTTTGTTTTGTTTTTGTTTGTTTGAGACAGAGTTTTGTTCTTGTTGCCCAGGCAGGAGTGCAGTGGTGCAATCTCTGCTCAATGCAACCTCTGCTTCCTGGGTTCAAGCAATTCCTAGCCTCCCAAGTAGCTGGGATTACAGGCACCCACCATGCCTGGCTAATTTTTTTTTTTTTTTTTTTGTATTTTTAGTACAGATGGGGGTTTTGCCATGTTGGCCAGGCTGGTCTCGAACTCCTGACCTCAGGTGATCTGCCCACCTCAGCCTCCGAAAGTGCTGGGATTACAAGTGTGAGCCACCACGCCTGGCCCTCCCACACCTTTGAATTTATCTCTTTTTATTCATCGGATTGTTGGTTGTTCCTTTTATGTACTCTTAAAAATAAAAATTATTTCAGCTTTTCTCAAAACGGGCAATATTTTCCACAACGTGCAAAATTTATTAAGTTTACAGGAAAAAGCTTGTGAGAGTCACTGAATTTAAAGATTGCAGAATGAAAGGAGAAATTGCTATAGAAATTTCCTTGTATCCTCACTGCCGAATTTTAAGAAAAGCAAAACTACATTCATTTGAAAAAATATTTGTATAAATGATACTGTATTCATTACACTGGTTGGTCAGAATAATCAATTCTCTACATCAAAATTAAGATGTCAATGTTTTTAAATATTTCATCTTATAAAATTATTTGAATGCATCATTAACATTCTCTGAGAAGCTCCTCAAATTTTATGTACATTAGACTGCCAAATCTCTTAAAGGTACAACTTTATTGAATTTTTTAATAAAATATTCTTTCTATATTCTATCAGTAAAAATTATTTTCAAACCTGTCCTTTACAGAAGGAAAAACTTGTAAAATCCAAATAAAGTCTGTCATTTAATTAACAGTATTGTACCAATGTTAATTTCTTTGTTTGATAAATACACCATCATTATGTAAGATGTTACCATTGGGTGAAGCTGGGTGAAGGGAATACAAAAATTTTCTACTGTATTTGCAAGTCTTCTGTAACTCTAAAATTATTTCATAATAAAGGTTTTTTTAAAAACTACTCTTTGAATTTCAATTTAAGATAGGCAATTGGAGAAAAAACCTTCTAACATTTAATTTAGAGTCTATTCATAAACATGCAATTAACAGAGAACACGTGTTCTCAATTGACTTCTGACATTAAGCCTATTTTATAGTTCTAGAGGCCACATTAAAGCAAAAGAGTCAGGATTCCAACACGAGCACAATGTATTTGTATTCTCATTTAGACCAAGGCCTTTCAAAGTCTCTTTATATCAACATCTATTTTTGATCACAGAAAGGCAGAGAAAGCAGTTATTTCTTGAACAGAATTCTCCAAAATAGTAAAGCATTTTAAAAACCACACATTGTGAAAAATCTATATTCATGGACAAAGCAAAATATTGAACTTACCTATGTTCATTATTTCCATGGAAATATTACATACAGAATGAATATATATATCTTGACTCATGAGATTTTTGAAGCTTTTGTGACTGGCAGACATGTTATATAATCCCTTAATAAATAGTGAAACCTAATTATGCCAAAGGGTAATGGTATCTACATGTCTGCCCAATGAAGAAACCCATTGTCAGCTCAAACCCAATGTAGAAATTACTCCTCCTACCAAAAAGCTTAAGAATCCATAAACCCCTCTCCACTTTAGCACAAAGGTAAACAAGGGAATGACTCAAATGGAAGTGGAAAAAATGAAGAATTGGGAAAAATAGAAAAGTTATATTCAAATAATAATGGGTACAAACACTTTGTAGTATATTAGAGGAAGTAACCCATGGAAGCAATACAGATGACAAAGTCACAAGAGATCAAATCTAGACTTAGGGTAACTGCTGATACAGATGATGAAAATTCTCTGCCATTAGTGAAAAGAGTTCTAATAGCAAGACGATTCTGATTCCAGCACAAATGAATGGCAAAAGAACAGAATGCCACAGAGAGAAGAGGATGTGGAGAAGCTGAACTACCAAACAGGAGAAATTGGAACCAGACCAGAACAGAAATAATTCGCATCATCATTAGAGATACAAAATTATGAGACATCAGTTTCTTATCAGGAAGAGCCAGGAATGAATAGCTAAGTGCACTGGTATACCATTTGGTATTTTTGTTTAATATGATTGCACTTAAGCCAACAATAAAGTCTATGCAACTCATATTCCACAGTATACATTCAATCATTCTCAATTAATACCTTTATTGGCTTAAACCTGAGTTAAAGAAACTCTCCTGGTCTTCATAATCCTTCCTGGTCTCTGGATGGAGTGACCACACTACCAGTGGGGTTCACCCTGTGCCTGGAGGGGCCCAGGTTATTAGCCAACCCATTAACCATCCTTCAGCGCAGAATGTTACCCTACCCAGCCTTGTTTCTGGGTGCTACAAAGGAGATGTCATTCATTTGGCTATATTTAACATTTGCAATAAAGTGGCAAAGTATCATCATGTCTTTTTCCCTCTATAGCCCTTCGAACAGGCAGCTAAAAAGTGTTACATATTATCTGAGTTTTAAATATCCAAATATAAAGCTCACAAAGCTCTCTGCAGTATCACACAGTCAGTGAAACACAGAATAAGGAACAACTTTCTAAACATTACAGCAGTTCCACAGTTCATAAGAGTTGCATACTTTATTAAGATTTCAACATAATCACATATTAGCGAAAACAATTACTTTTTAAATCTGTCAAATCATTAATGTACTACACTTACAGACCACAGTCTATTACACAGGTCCCCAGAAGTTCTAAGCATGCATAGAAATAAAATGAACATTTGTATCATTTTCTTCTCACATTCATGACTTGAAGTTAATTGTAACCTTCAAAAAACAATCTAGGCTTCACTTGAACTAGCTTCAGATGAGAAGTCAATAAGGAAACAAGCGTTTTTAGCCAGAGGTCTAGTTTCAATGAACAAGTATAAAAACACTCAATTACTTAATTCCTTGAAGCATTTTTTAAAATCACATGATTTACTAAAGACATTTGGCCTGCTTTCCTAAAAGGAAAGTAGGTGCTAAGAAAATCAAACCATAGTGGAACTGGGGAATGTTTTGGTGAAATATAAAATCATTAGACTATTTCAGACAATATCTCAAACTTGCCCAAAAGATCTGTACGTCTTCACAGTCCCTTACTGTAGTAAAGGTAAGGCAGCCTTTACAGGAAAGGGAAAGTGGAGGAACAAAACAGAAGGCATCCTTACACTCAGCAGGTAGATTCACGAACTTTCTGAGTTCACTCCACAAATACTTGCTGAATGCCTAGCATGTACTTGGCATTGGGCTACAAGAAAACCGTTCTGCTAAGCAAAATGATGCAGTGCTTCACCTCCTGTAGTTAACACCTAGCAGGCAAGACAGACAACAAACCACATATTTTATTTATCCTTCTGATACCTGCTAGAAAGAGGAATTTCAGAATGCAGAGCCAGCCTACACAAGAGGTTCACATATATTCAGGAGGGTAAGTCAGGAGAGGAACATTCATTTCCTCAAATAACAGCAAAAATAACTCAAAAAATGCTATTTGATGAGATCATTCTGTGACAGAAGGTATTTCACGTGCATTGTCCCACATGCTTTTAATTTTCACAATAACCTTGGGTGATAAGTGGGTTAATATTTAACATCTAGATTATTTAGTCTAGGAAACTGAGGCTCAGAGAGTAAAGGGCCTTAACTAAGGTCCCAGTCCCTAGGCAATGGATCCTTCTTTGCACAGCCCCACTGAAGGAGGCCCAATGCAGTCATACAACCTCACCCAGGTGAGAAGGGTTTGCTGGGCTGCCTAGGTGACATGGGTGCAGGAGAGGCCAATCCAGGGAAACTTCCCCCTAACCAGGACAAGCCTCTCCTCCTTCAATAGCCTGGAAAATGTGAGATTAGGCTTCCCTCTGGGGTCCAAATGGAGAAAGAGCCCACTCCACAATCCTAAAAACCCAAGCAGAATGGAAGAATATCTTACTAATGCACATTGTCAAAAACAGACCAGGTAAATTTACTTCAAAATCTGATATTATTTCATAATAAAAATTAAATTTTGAGAGGAAGAAAGGGAGCAAAATAGCTAACACATTCTCTTTTATTAAATGTTTTCTTCAAGAAAAATTACCAGATTAATCAGGCCAAAACAGCTTCTCATATCTACCATCACACATTGAAATGAAAACTTTTCTTTCTCCCACGACCTCTTCCAAAACACAGCATTGAATGAGACTGGTAGGTAACTAAATAACCTTTGGGTTTTTCTTTTCTTTTTATAAAACTGTCATGCTGCACACATCTCAGCAATGTGTCTGTATTCTCTATCGAAAGCGGCTCTATAAAATCGAAATACAATGTAAAAGATGACCTCCAGCAAGAATCTGTGGTTTGCCTATAAAAGAGGCAGCTGGGCTCGTCGTGCAGTTCCACCCACAGCCTGTGGTTCCGGCTCCCTGAGAGCTCTGCAGGACTGCAATGCAGTAAAGGGTCGCTTTCAAACGAAAGGGGGCAGGGAGGGAGAGAGCAAGGTTGCAATTTCCTTGTGTGCATTGAGCCTGAGCATTTTCTATTTCCACTGAATATGAAGAACCATGGTCTTGTTTTAAGGATTTAAGAAAAAGAAGACAGTTTAAAACCAAATGCCTGCTCTCTGCTATGGCAGTTCTATTGGCAGGCTGTAATTTGCCAAGGGTAGGTAACGGAAATGCAGTTATGTTTGTATAATCCATGAGCTGTTTATCAACTATGTGAAGCCCAAAGATACAGGTGGCAGCAAATCTCTCTGGGAAAAAAACCTTTCAACTCTGAAAAAGAAAGAAAGAAATTCCCACCATTTTCATATAAAATTCAGTTCTATTTCATTTCTCTGTAAATCTGAAACAAAAAGTTAAAGAGGTTAATGGAGGAAAATTAAGAACCTATGGGGCAAATAGGCATGTTTCAAATCACACATGGAACATGAATATGTGTTTCTCAGGAAGAGAATATTTCTATTCATGTCCTGACATATCTTTAGCCTATAATTTAGAGGCAACTTCCACAAATGACAACTCTGAACAAATCACTCCTTTGACACTAGGTTTGCAACAACCAGAAACCTTCTTTTGAGGAAAAAAGCTATTTGCAATCAATACAGGCAGTCATTTGATGCATTTGTTTGTTTGAGTTTTTTTCTTATTATTCTTTGCTTTTCTGGAAGAACCAAGTCCTCACTAAAACCGCACCTTTATCTGAAGGTATTAAACAAGCATTCACTAGTTTTGTAGTGAGAAATAACGTACACAGATATAAACATGATAGGTTCCTTAAGAATCATGTAAAGCAAACTGAAAATTGCTTCTTTATTCACAGATATCAGTATTTACTCCTGAGTTTCCATTTTCTTCCCTGCATGTTTTTACTCTGAGATATAATCTTGCTTCATCTTTTCAATGTCAATATGTCAGTCTTAGATTGAACCAACAACGATGAATATACAGCTTATTTGGTAATAAGCAGAAGGTACATGCACAGACTACAAAAATACCATGTAAATACATCTCAGGATACAGTAGCATTAAATTTCCATTTCAGCATAACTTGCAACCACACTGCATAACACTAAACAGACTGAAGTAAAATGATATTTCAGACCGGAGTTTGCTTGTGTGGCTTTTATCCTGATCAGCATCTGCACTTTTTAAATGAGAAGAGGAAAACACATAAATCATAAGATTTTTCTCCTGCTTAAATATCCCTTACTGCTATATTGCTTTCTTTTTTTTTTAATTATTATTATACTTCATGTTTTAGGACACATGTGCACAACATGCAGGTTTGTTACATATGTATACATGTGCCATGTTGGTGTGCTGCACCCACCAACTTGTCATTTAGCATTAGGTATATCTCCTAATGCTATCCCTCCCCGCCTCAACTCCCCACAACAGGCCCCGGTGTGTGATGTTCCCCTCCCTGTGTCCACGTGTTCTCATTGTTCAATTCCCACCCATGAGTGAGAACATGTGGTGTTTGGTTTTTTGTCCCTGCGATAGTTTGCTGAGAATGATGGTTTCCAGCTTCATCCATGTCCCTACAAAGGACATGAACTCATCATTTTTTATGGCTGCATAGTATTCCATGGTGTATATGTGCTATATTGCTTTCTATAACCTCAAGTGAGCTTCAAAAGTGCATTCTGCCATCAGCATCCAGTTGTACAAAGAATAGGCCATTCTAGATTGTTTTTTAATTAATTAATTTTTTTTTTTGAGACAGAGTCTCACTCTGTGGCCCAGGCTGGAGTGCAGTGGTTTAATTACAGCTCACTGCAACCTCTGCCTCTGGGTTCAAGAGATTCTCGTCCCTCAGCCTCCCAAGTAGCTGGGATTACAGGTATGTGCTATCACACCCTGCTAATTTTTGTATTTTTAGTAGAGACAGGGTTTCACCATGATGGCCAGGCTGGTCTCAAACTCCTCGCCTCAAGTGATCCACCTGCCTCAGCCTCCCAAAGTGCTGGGATTACAGGCATGAGCCACCATGCCCAGCCTAATTTTTTATTCTTTGGTAGAACACTTGCTCTCTGGACTCATAATGACCAATTTTGCCAAGATCCTAAAGGTATGGGGTCCTTCTCCTTCACAAGGTCCCTGTCGGGATTCAATGCAGCAATCTCCACAAAGAACATCACACAGCACCTAAGCACATAGCAAGCACCATTAACATATGGGAGATGGTGGATGAGACTAGAGCTGGTGGTGAAGATGGAAATGGTGGACGAAATTTGAGTGAATCTCAGTTTGGGTCTGTTAGAGCATGCTGTAATGATTAGTTCCCTTTCCTTTGCCTATCATTGCCTGCAACAGGTTTTCTATACCTAACCCCAGGGCACAACTGTAGGCAGGACATGTGTTCTCACGCCATGGAGCAGGGCAGGACCCAAAGACTGTCTGAGTCAGAGAGTATGTGTGGAATGACAGGAACGAGCTGAGGCAAGCACTCCTTGGGGAGTGTTTTCACATGGGCTTCCCAGACCAACCCCAGTCCAGCGAAAGCAGAGCACTACCCTGTATTTAGTAGTTCTAGGGACCCCAGGAATTCTGGACATGGGACAAAGCTGCAGCCGATTTCTACTCCAATTGCTGCCTCTTTGCTATCTGATGAAGGAACTCAATCAGTCTCCATGGGAAGAGCAGTCCTGATCCACTCCTAAGCCTGCGTCAGGTTCTTATATCACTTATACCTACTTTTCACCAAAAATGACACATGGCATAATTTGTGGATGTAACCTATAGATCTACTTCTTAGTCACAGAGAATAGATCACATGTCACTTTCAGCCCCCATCATTGCTGACTATGCCCCTGTGGAATATTTGGTTTCCAAAGCAGACTGTCTGTAATGAGCATTGTTTTCTTTTAAGCTGCTGCCACCACTGACTGGTGGCAAACATCTATTATTTTATATCGACTTTCATAAGTACAGATTCTCATAAGTACATCAAGAATCAGGCATTTTAGCACTTACTATGTGTCATGCCTATGTCAGGTGCTCGAGACCACAAAATAAGTGGCCCATCTCCAAGGTAAAGGATCAGCAATCTAGTAGGGAAGACAGATACAACTTGATTGACATGATATGAAATTATAACATGATGTGGAAGGGCTAAAATGAGGGCATGAACAAATTGTGAAAATACAGAGCTGGATATAATTAATTTCTGCCATTTTCTGTCTGAGGTGGTTTATAAAATCTCCACAGAATTTGTTGCAAACACAATAAAAATTAGATAGCCTTTCGATGAACTACATCCTTCTGGCATTTTGTCCTTATCCTTTGACCTCATTTCAATTGCCTCCCGGTTCCCACACTGTATTATTAATGGAAATGTTTCCCATCATTATCCAGCAAGATTGTTACATAGACATTTCTGTTCTGGAAGATGCTTGAGAACTTCTTTAGCTGATAAAATAATTAACCTTTTGGACTACTATGGCCACTTACTGCTAGGCACAACTCTCAGGGATTCTGACTACAGTACTTAGAAAATATAGAGCATCTGTTTTGCATGTGTATGTAGTATGTATAGCCTACCAAATAACTACTCATAAAAATAAAATTTTACTATCGTTAAAGGATTAAATAATGATCATCCACATAATCATGTATCTATAACAGTCAAGTCTCAATTTCGGGGGCTCCTAAAGAACAGAAATTTTACAAAAAATCACTGGGGCCCAAGGCCAACACTACAGGAACAAAGGAGGCTGCCATCTGCATATGATCACTTGAGGATTGCAGAAGAACTATCTGCCCCCCATTTTTTTTCCTCAATGACCAGACCACTTGGTTATTAGCAGAAATGTGAAAACAATGCCCTCCGACATACTGCAACTGAGAAAGAAATGAATCAAATTTTAAAATGCAAGAATCAGGGGACTTGTGAATATAAACAGACTGGACTCAGACTCTGGGTCCTATGGAAAGATGCCCCTCTTTTCCCTTATTTTTCTCCATATTGTAAAGAACAGAATCCAATGGCTTTGCCCATGCAGTCAAGGTCCTCCATCATCTAGTCCCAATCCATATCCCACCTTCCCCATAACAAAGACTTTACCCCAACCAGACTAGCATAATCATTGTCCTCAGTTCATGCTTTCTTCTTTCCCCTCAGGTGGAGATAGGGCCAGGCAGAAGTTTTGCTGGAGAATCAGTTCTGTTTCAGAATCAGCTCCATTACTCAAGGGATGTCTCTGCACCATTACTGTGAGCCCCAGATGCTCAAATCATATTGTAGATAATCAAATTAGCAACTCGGCCAAAGAGTAGTCTCAGAAAGAAACATCTAGAAATAGACACCCAACACCAGTTACTGAGCTAAACAACGAATAGCCTATCTGAGGGATATAGATTCTGTGCCCTCAAAGGCATTACAGACTGGCTCAGGCTTTAATCTGAAAATGGTGTGTTTTAACCAAAGATCAGCATAACAAAATTTTCATTACCAAATGAAAGATAAGGGCATCATACAATAATGATAGTTGATATTTATTGTGCACCTACAGAATACCAGGTGCTATTTGAAATCCTTTATATTTATTAATCTATTTAATCCTCACAGTATCCCTCGGAGGTAGCTAATGGTTGTTATGCTCACATTATAGGCAAGGAAATAAGGTCAGAGTTTGAGTAACTTGCTCAAATTCACACAATGCCTAGGTGGCAGAACCAGGCTATCTAATTCTAGAATCCATGCTTTTACTCAGTTGCCAGTTAAGGAAATATCAGACTATAGGTAGAATTATATACATGAAATGGATCTTAATGCTTCAGGTTTTCCTGGAAAAAAAATATTTGCTGATTAAAAGTCAAGAAAAGGGATATGCTTGTTATTTTCTATTAATATAATTGCTGAATTATTTGCTTTATGTAAGCAAAAAGCAAAAAATAAAAAGTATTGCTACCCAATATATCTTAAGAAGCAGAAAAAATAAGCAATGCCTTGTCCCAAATCACAGTAAAGTTTAAAGAATTGAAAGTCAAAATTTTCTCCAAAAATGTGGATGAAAGATACACAGCCTGACTAAGGAGGTTTGCTGCAAATTCAACCCATTTGGCAAATGACCTAATCTGAAACAAGTTAATTATTTTTAGAAGGGTGTCACTCAAAGAAAATATTAAATCTAATTATACTTTATATTTCCCTTAATAGTTCTAAACATAAGTCATAATAATTGATTTATAAAGTGAATATTTCCCATATTTCTAAGCTATACAATGAAATAATATGCACATATTAAAAGTTATATTTATAAACAGTTTCTAGCAATAGATAAAAAGTCTTACAGTATTAAGTGAAAGATGATACAAAATTTTACATTTAGTATCTAATACATCTTTGGAAATATATATTCAAATGAAATAGGATAGGAGAAAATGTTATCAATTTTTTTTAATGGTTATCTTTGGCATGTTGAGATTTTATTTCTTTGTGCACTTATGTATTTCTAATTTTCTAGAATAAACATATTTATAATTGTAATGAAAAATAAAAATTTAAGAGGAAATGTGAACAAAAAGTCATTAGCAATGTTTCTATGCTCAGCCCTTTGAAGGAACATTTTACCGTCTAGTTAAGAAAATTCTCTTTGAACCACACACCAGATGTAAGTTTACCTTTATGAGACCCTTCAGAATTTTATAGACAGCCACTAATCCCAAATAATAAGGAAAATCAGGCATTCTTTCTCCAGGGGGAAAAACATTTTTTCTTTAATTTAGAAGATATAAAATGGGATTTGGACTACATTTGAATTCTAGCTCAAATGTTCAGCAAATTAGTTAATCTCTCTGACCTTTGGTTTTCCCACATGTAAAAAAAGCAGTTGCCATTATAATTAAGTTCAATAACATAAGTAAAGTAGTTAGCTCAGATGACTGCAGCTCTAGCCGACAGCTGACTGCAACTACAATACTATTTTCCTTTTCTCTCTCTTGGCCTTTAAAACGGGTAAAGCATCCATAATTGAGAGGGAACACAAGTGAATTTTACATAGGAACTGTATTTTGGATTCACCTAAAGGACTAGTAGCTACAAAGTGAGGGATAGAGAAAATTATACATTATTTTCTAGTTAACATATGTTTATTGTTCTTGTCAATGTAAAATGATTCCAGTCCTTATGAGCATTTTTCAGTGGGAGAATTAAAAAATGATGTTACTTGATTTAAAACACATTTTTCATAAAATGTTAAATGTACCCATCTTGCTTATTTCTTTCCTTCTGACTCTCCTTTGTATCTGACTTTCCTTCTTTCTGTTTTTCTTTCTTGTATTATTTTAGACATATAGAGAACACAATAGTTACATTATTAAACACCCAAAATGCTAAATATTTTCTTATAGTTGGATAATATATTAGGTTCAATTTGATCTATAGTGCTAAATTATATTATAATCCACATATGTCAACAAATATATCCAAAAAAAAACTCATTTGTTTAGTGTAAATAATTCTGTTTGGAATGGGTTAGAACCCTCACGGGATATCTATAACAGGAAGTTTTTTCTTGAAAACATTTATAATCTCTGCCTCATCTCCTGACCTTCAAAGTTTCCTTAACACCACTCGAGTTCTTCATAATTTATTCTAACCAGGTTAAACAGATTTTACAGATCATACAGTCCTTCTCACTGAGTATCAGTGACAGAACAAATATAGGATTAGATAAGCATAACTGAGATTTTATCATAAACAATGTAGGTTTTCTAAGCATTCATTATTTTCATATTTGTGGAGTTGCTAATTCCTCTCTCCGCCTTGCTGTTTCCCACTTATTTTTCAACCCCTAGAGTAAATAACACCCATTCTGGGAAGCCGTTCTGAACACTTCCCACTCTCATTCCTCCCTGGAACTCACCATCTCCGATGAGGTTGGGGCTTCTTATTATATTCTCTCATTATGCACTAGATTTTTACTTCATACCACTATCAAAAGAGTAACTAAATTATTACTAGTATAATCCCCTGCTTAATGTCTATGTGAATAAACTATAACTTCCTTGGGACAAAGATGTACCTGTCTAGTTCATCTTTGCATCATAGGTCCTCCCATGGTATCTGACCTAAAAAAGCCACCCCATAAATAAATATTGAATAAATTAATGAATGATAACTTCAGTTGCTGTCAGGTAAAATATCAGGGTCTATGCTTTCAGCTCTGCATAAGTCTCAGCCTGAATCTCAAAGGTCCATGTAGAATCAAACTGTGGTCATTGTGTAGTTTAGCAAACAGGTAACATATGTCAAGAAACCGCTTTTCTGCTTCCAGTAAATATGCACACCAAAGTAAGCAAAGTCTGGCTGCCATTCACACGAGGTATGTATATAACAGAAGAATACTTAGAACTACAAAGTTGACAGCAAAAGATGCCTTCTAAATCCAGGTATGTATAGGCTACTGCTTTCCCAAGTGTTTTTTTTTCTTATGCAAATTACTGTGAGAATTGATGGAATGTCTGCTTTCAAATATACCCGGGGCTATTTCTGATAGTTATCAGAAAGATCAAATCCAATGAAGATAGAGTACAAGGCATGAACAAAATTAAAATCAGGAGAATATAAGTTAGTGTACTTGGAAAGAATTTAAAACAGAAATTTCTCTAGTGAATCAAGTCAGATCTTCAAAGTTGCCTTAAATCCCATAACAATAAACAAGCCCAGATAGCCAACAAGATCAGTTTTATGGTGCACAGTGGGTTTTTTAAGCTAATGGAATGTTCATTGTGGAGTAGCCTCTAGGTTTATCTATTACTTTAATAACAGGATAATTTAGGTTACTCTCTGTACCTTCTGAAGTCATGATAAACAGCATCATTCTGGGACAGGAACTAGGCATAGAGTCAAGTGAGCAGCTTAAACTCCTGCCAGGTGCTAAAAAGGAAATAACAATGACACAAGAGTGGAAAGAAAAGCTTCAAATTCTCATTATGGCAGGCATCAAAAAATTAACAAAAAGCAACCCCAAAGACTTTGAAACAATAATACAGGCTTTTTCCTAACTTAGTTCAACAGAAAATTATAGACTGTTCTAGTGAATAAGACAGGGATAGTGCATGCCTTTGCAAAATTTATAAAATGTCTTTTGAAATACAAAATAGAAGCACTCATTTCTAAAGAGTATTGATAAACGTTCTTTACTCCTTTATCATTAATGATATGCTATAAATGATATGCTGTATCTATGTCACCTAGAAGCCTTCCCAAGGTTGAACTAAAACTCATGATCGCAAATTTCTATGATATAATGACAAGTGAATGACTCAAAGGATAAAGGTTAGGGGAATCCAAAAATAATAATATGCAGCTTGGCAGGGTGGCAAGGTTATCATTTCAGAGGTCGGACTTGAGTGGGTCTTGAAAAATGGATGAGACTAGGGAAGAGGGAAGATGGTGTTGAGGATGTGAGGAAAGGCATGAAGAAGACTTTCTGAAAGCAGGAAGGCAGATGGCACCCAAAAAAAGTCAGCAAGTGGATTTTCCTGAAGCAGAGGGCACCAGTAATGAAGCAATGAGAGTTGGCATTAGAAGGGTAGGCAGACTCCTCAAATATCCCATCCCTTACAGCATAGTAAAGTCCTGAGCATTCAGAAGAGAATATTGAAGGAATCCTTGCATTAAAAAAACTAATCTGGTAGTGACTGGCTCCTAACTTCTGGTTTGAAAAATAAAGCCAGCCAGGCATGGTGGCTCACACCTATAATCCCAGCACTTTGGGAGGCCAAGGTGGGCGGATCAGGAGGTCAGGAGATTGAGACCATCCTGGCTAACATGGTGAAACTCCATCTCTACTAAAAATACAAAAAAAATTAGCTGGGCATGGTAATGTGTGCCTTTAGTCCCAGCTACTTGGGAAGCTGAGGCAGGAGAACTGCTTGAACCTGGGAGGCAGAGGTTTCAGTGAGCCAAGACTGTGCCACTGTACTCCAGCCTGACGACACAGTGAGACTCCATCTCAAAAAAAAAGAAAAGAAAAGAAACAAAAAGAAAAAGAAAGCCAGCTGGCTTAATCAGAATCACCTGGAGCACTGTGGCTAATACAGATCCCAGGTCCCTCATCCCTAGAAATTCCAATTCACATGCCTAAGAAATTAATAATATGTATATTATTTAAATACGTAACACATATATATTTATAATACATATTTTTAAAAGTGGTACCTTAAGTGACTTTATATGTAATTCTGAGGCATAGCCAAGTTTGGGAAGCACTGATATAGAACAAGAAACAAAGCTTCTGACCATATTGACTTAGGGAAAGTGATGAAGGCTAGGCCTAGGGAATTTGGACTGGCCTGACCTGAAAGGTAGGCAGAGAGGCTGCTCAGTTTAAGTCAAAATATAAGGTCCAACTGACATCTGGAAATGTTTGTAGGGACTTTGACCCCTAAAACTACATTACTTTTATATTGCTATGCTCAATGTTTGGACGGGGAGGCGGGGTGTGGTTTATTGTGTAAGGACTCTAAATGAATCTAAAAACTACCTTTGCACATCTTGATTCCATCTGTTTTTTTTTGCTACACCCATCCCATAAGGAGAAGGCAAGTTCCTCAAAGGCAGAGAACTTGCTCCCTGTTGTATTGCAGCCCCTACAGTGGTGTTGGCACAGACTAAGCAAGCAATTTCCTTTTTAATGAATGAATAAAAATCAGTCTTTTCAATCACTGAAAAAAAGCAGCTGCCATTCATGGATCCTTGGGAACCATGTCTAAAGCTTCCATTCCCCAGGCAAAAACTAGAAAGATTCAGTGATGTCCACCATGGATTCTGAATACTTTTGTGTACTCTGGAGGGTTCCAAAATAGAGAAGTGATCTGGGAGAAACTTTAAAGAAAACAACGAGGCAAAACACGGAGGCAGCAAGAGTAACAAAATCTTTATGGCGACCCAATTTCAGCCTGATTATAATGCATCTGCCATCTGCCAACAACATGCCTTTCTGAGGGCTTTTACCTCCTAAAGTCTACAAGAGAATTTCTGAGTCATAAAGGAATTCCTTCTCTTCCTGTATTAGTCCCTTCTCATACTGCTAATAAAGACATGCTGGAGACTGGGTAATTTATAGAGGAAAGAGGTTTAATTGACTCACAGTTCAGCATGGCTGGGGAAGCCTCAGGAAACTTACAATCATGGCAGAAGGGGAAGCCAACATGTCCTTCTTCACTTGGCAGCAGAAAGGTGAAGTGCCGAGCAAAGGGGGGAAAGCCCCTTATAACACTATCAGATCTCATGAGAACTCACTCACTATAATGAGAACAGCATGAGGGTAACGCCTCCATGATTAAATTACCTCCCACCAGGTCCCTCCCATAACAGGTGGGAATTATGAGAACTACAATTCAAAATGAGATTTGGATGGGGACACAGCCAAACCATATCACTTCCCATTTAAGAGTTTAAGAAATCTGACAGACCATCTTCAAATGCCAAGAGTTTAGTATGTGAGAATTGGTAGGCCTTACGTATTTATTTTTCTGAAAATGGATAAGGCTGTAATGGCTATATAATCAATTATTCCTTCAACCTAGATTTTTTTAAATTACCTTAATTGGCATAATCAGTTGGATTGACCATGTTGTTAAAGAATCTGGCTATTTCCTTCTCTGAAAACCTTTAAGTACTTCAGCCTAACTTTAAAAGAGGGAAACTAAGACCCAGAGATCTAATGCCACACCCTAGGTCAGTAAGGTCTTTGCATTCGAGAGTAAATCCTACTATATAATGCTGCCTCTTTTATTTTATTTATTTAATTAATTAATTTATATGAGATGGAGTTTCACTGTGTCATCCAGCTGGAGTGCAATGGCACAATCACAGCTCACTGCAGCCTCGAACTCCCAGGCTCAAGTGATCCTCCCACTTCAGCCTCCCAAGCAGCTGGAACTACAGGTTCACACAACCACACAAAGCTAATTTTTTTTATTTTTAATTTTTTAATTTTTTGTAGAGACAGTATTGCCATGGTGCTCAGGCGGGTCTCGAACTCTTGGCTCAAGCAATCCTCCTACCTCAGCCTCCCAAAGTGTTAGGATTACAGACCTGAGCCACTGTGCCAGCCCTGCCTCTCTGAACAACAACTACAACAACAACAAAGCGTAAGCTTTAATGAAGTTCAAGCCTAGTGCTTTTTATTACATCAGTTCTTTTTCCTTCAGAAAAGTAATCAAGGAGAGACGCAACACAATGACGAACTGGGTTTAGATTTGCGTGGCTAAGATTCCTAATTTTAAATAATTCCATTTTACCAAGTAAGAGAAACTAAATTGTCCTTAACATAGGTTAGAAAGGGAAAGCATAAAATGCAAAAATAAAGTATGCTGAATTTCTCCAACGCAAGTTTCTAATAGAGAGCCATTTGTGGGGAGGGGGCATCTGCCCCTGAAGGTAGGAATATTTTTATACTGGCATTGTTTAGAATCACTGGAGCATGATGACAATAAAAAGCAGACCAACCTGGTTTTATTATTGTTTTTAAATTTTCTGCAGACAATGCACCCGCTAACTGACTGTACCGGAGGCCAACAGCTCCCACCACTGCCCTTGGTGGGCCACTTTTGGGGGCCAACATGGGAGATGTACCTAAAAATAATCCTATCACACAAATCACTGCCACAAATAGTGTCACTGGAGGTAGAAATAATACTGGAGAAACATAGGAAAACATTTGAGGTCTTAGCAAGGGATACAAAAATGCGTAGCAATGAATGAAAAGCAGTTCAAAGTATTTCTGAGTGATATGGTTGGCCGAGGGAGCCCTGAGTAGATGGTACATGGAAGTCCCACAGAATGAAGAGAAGACTGTTCTGGGGGCAGCTCTTCAACCTCCTCAGACCAAAGAAATTGGCCATCAGCTTCTCCATTAGGATCAGGCCCTGGTTTGCCCTCACCATTCCTTCTTTTATGCATTAATCATCAGTTGATAGGTCAATATAAAAAATTGATACAATGTAAATACTACAGAATAAATTCTATGAAACTGAAAGGACAGCGCAAACTGTAACATGGAGGAAGGGTCCCCTTCCACCTCACCCAGCCTCTTCCATTCCTGACTTTGTGCTATTCAGAATACCTGTCTGTATCATCCATGTGTATCATCCTATGAATAGGGAAAACACTTTGGGGTCCAGGCTAGGGGTGCTGGCTTAATAGGCAGATGTCCCTTTCCTCACTCATAATTCAGGTTTTACCCTCCTCTGAGGGAGACAGTGACCTTCACAAATAGGAAAATTGGTTTTGGGTAATACATTCCTCCATCCTACGGTCAAGGATTCCATTGTGCAGAGTTTCATATGTTCAAAACACTTATGGCAATGCTAAGTACCATATCTCCTTCTCAGAGAGTCAAAATGTACCCCAGTCATACTGTAGGCTCTAAGAAATGATATGTTAGAGAAACACGTTTACCTTACCTTAGCTTTTACCAGGTATTTTTGCAAAATCAGTACAGCACAGAATCCTTTTTCCTGTTAGTATCAATATACCTGGGAACCAGTATTCTGCATTCAGAATCAAGTGGAATTAGGTAATTCATCCTCCTCTGAAACGTATTTTCTAGAAAAAGAATAGTCTTATACACAGCAGGGACTCACGTGTTATTGTATAAATGAAGGAATGACTTGAAATACAGAATTCCAAAACATAAAGACCAGGCTAAATGATGGCCAAACTTGAAAGTAAAAAATGTTTGTTCATGCCTGGTGTTCATGTATATGCTACATTTAATCATAGTAGGACAAAGTTGTAATATTTACTTGATTGTATGTACTCAACATTCACATGGATACACAAAGCCTTTGAGTGTTCAGTGGTTCAACTCAACTTTTTTTCACCCAAGAATTCTCTTTTTATTGTATAAAGTATCAAAAGGTTAAAAAGTGAGTTTTACTTTAATTACCAACTTAAGTCAATGGAGACTTAAGAATACAGAACAGCACAAAGTCAGGAATGGAGAGTTTTTTATTGTATTTGAATTTAGGGTGTCTCCATTTTACAAAAAAGGAAAAAAAAAAGGCCAGGCACGGTGGCTCATGCCTGTAATCCCAGCACTTTGGAAGGCTGAGGCAGACGGATCACTTAAGTTTGGGACTTCGATACCAGCCTGACCAATATGGCGAAGCCCCATCTCTACTATACCAAAATTAGTCGGACATGGTGGCACATGCCTGTAGTCCCAGCCACTTGGGAGAATGAGGCCGGAGAATTGCTTAAACACAGGAGGCAGAGGTTGCAGTGAACCGAGATCACTGCTAGGCAACAGAGCAAAATTCTATCTAAAAAAAAAAAAAGCCATGGTTTTATTCAAATGTATGCAATCATTTATTTAATAGTAAGTTTTAAAATTTTGAAAATGTATGGGCACCAATTTAAGTAGTGTACTATTTAACACATTTCTAACCACCTGTTATTCTGACACTACATTTAGTGGAAGTTACCTCCAAGGCCAATTAGGCTTTTCATCTGAGAAGGGTCTGGAAGGTGATAGATTATATTGTTGCCATGTAAGACGAAAACTTACATTCATTACTATCAACTTACGACCAATTTTTTTTGGCACCTCTGAATGTTTTTTTGTCATATTCATTCCTTTCCCTTTAAAACAACATCCTTTAGTGGACTTTCTCTCCTTGGGGCTATTTACAAGATGCCCTGAATCAGATGTCATTAGCTGATACAACATTCATCTTCTTTCAGGACTAGAAAAATCACCAAATAATGATTAGAGGCAGCGGCTTTTAAAATATCCTAACCATAGATCTCAATTTGATATTGATTTAAGTGATTAATTTTTCTATGAGGGTACAGCATCCTGACCAATCAAATAGAATGTTTACAGGGTGCATTAATCATGGTTTACAGTTTTCCTATAGGTATGATGGATAGTGAACAGTTTATGAATCAATAAACTAGCAAAAAAAAAAGTATTCAGGACTAGAGATATGGGAGCAGAGACAAGACCAGCTTGATTTTTATGTTTTTAAAATTCCGGCAGTCTTTTAATTATAAACTCCATTTAGTTTAGTTTATATTTAAGGGTTTATCAGCTTGTTTTTACCATTATGATGCACTGAAAAATAAGTTCAAAATGTGGAGCTTTTTCTGCACTTTAATGTGATGTCAAACTGCAAATAATGGCTAGTAGTGTGATTTATCCAGATAAAACAATATTTTAAGTAGAACTGTATAAAATGATCTGTATGTTTCATTTCCTCAGAAAGCAGCCAAGATTTACAGATTAAACCTAAAGTACAGTAGAAAGAAATAGATCAAGATTTTGCTAAGCAGAACAGATACTGTGACAATAAAGATTTTTTCTTCCCTTCCTCAATTCTGAATTGTCATATTTCTTTTTGATGTTTTCACTCTTCAGCCTAATTCACACATATACCATTATCTTATGGCTAATCAGTTGATTTTTATTATGTCATTCTGTTTTTTGCCTCTTTCTTCTTGCATAACTTAGATCCATTTTTTTAATCCTTTCTATTAGAACCCAGGAGTTATATAGTCAGTTTCAGAAGATCTTCCAAACTCTCAGTTTAACCCCGTTTCTCACATAAGGAAAATTGCCCCCACAGTTCCAATGGCTGCTCCTTCCCTGCAGAACATTTTCCAAAGGCAGAATTTTGAGCAGCAGTTCTTTCATGTTGGCATGTGCTGGACTGGAGCTTCTAACCATGCAGTGTCTGGAAAGAGGGTCTCAAGGAAAACACAGGTTCATATGTGTTTTCTCACACCCCCTAGATGGCACTAATACAAAAAAAAAGCATATTATATGAGAAAGAACATCAAGACAAAAAGTGATATATGGCGGGTCTCATATTCATGACAGTGTAGCTGCTGAGTTCCCGAAAGCCCAGGCTGATCTGCTTAGTGGGCAAGGTGGGAAACAACCTCCTCTGCCTGTCTGCAGAGAGTACGCATCTTGACGTCTCATCTAGTATCCAAGGACCAACCCTTAGACAGTATGCTTCATCTTAGGAAATAGACTCTTGGAGATTTATTTGAATTCAAAAATTACTTTTCTGAGTTGTACATTTAACTAGTTTCCTCTCAGAGTTTTAACCAAGAAATACTTCAGTTTAATCAGAAGACAGCCCAGTGCTTGAGAAAGAAGAATCTGAAAATTATCTGATGCTCCCAATGATATTCTAAATATGTGATTCATCTAGGATACAGGATTAATGTTAGAGACAGTAACTTGAAAACACTATTTGATGACACCCTTTCATTTCTTTATTCAACAGACATGTACCTGTTATGTAACAGGCATTTGCTTTACCCTGGGCATTGATTTTTAAAAAGGATAAGACGCAGTTCCCGCTCTCAAGGAGCCCAGAGACCAGTGGTGGTGGGAGTGGGGGGTGGTCCAGGGAGTAGACAAGAAAACAGATACTTTGAAATAGAAGCAATAAATTGCTGTGACTCAAAAAAAAACAAATTAAAAAACTGTAAGTATTTAAGATCTGAGTAACTATTATGCCTGAGGAAGTCAGAGAAGACCCCAGGGATGAACTGAATTTGAACTGAGTGCCAAAGAATTGTTAGTCTTCCAGGAGATGAGGAAATACGTTCCAAGAAGGAACAGCATGTACAACAGCACAGTCATACAAGAACCCGGTTATCTTAGGAACAATCAAAAAAGAGTCCTAGAAACAATCATGTGAAATGTTTGAGGATTAAAATACTGGCAGGAAATGAAAGTGAAGGGCAGGAAGGGGCAGATGTAAGGCCCCTGACAGTAAACATATGTTGTCTGCCCATTGTTAATTTTTTTGAGGAAGCACTCCCCTACTCCTCCTAGTTGAGGAGGCTGATAACACCCTGCTTTCAGCTCCAGCTGTGGGCAAGTGAGCCAGGCCTGGCCAATCTGAGTGCTCCATATACACTTAGATCAAATAAAAGGATCACGCATAGACGCATGACCCAAACTGGGACAATCAGAATCCCCATCAGGATTATCAGCTGGTCCAGCTTCATGCATGTGACCTGTTAGTTGCAAAGCCCCTGTGCTTACAAGAGTCTTGCACTTGGTTCACTGCTCAGCTGATGCCATTTTGAAATTCTCAATAATTTCAGCTTGGATCTTATGTTTTGTAAGTGATGTCCAATGGGACAATAGGGAATGCACATGAGCAAAGAAATACACACCTCACTTGCAATATAGCATTTATGACACCCTGTGAGCACAGCAGTCCAGTAGACTCACTTTGCATGGAAGTACCACAAGACGTGAAGTGAGTGCAAATAAATATGTTATATTTAAAACTGAATAAATGGTGGTGCTGACAGCCCCAAGAGGGTCATGTCTTCCATTCAAACCAGAACTTGCTTCCAATGCAGAAGACAAGCAATGGTGTTTTAAGAAACAACTACAAATAACTTTATCATATCCTTTTCTCACTTGTGTTACTTCTCTTTATTAGACAAGCTCACTGAAAATCATGGCATAGCAGAAGAGAGAAAGATAGGGCCACCCATAGTTCCTTTCCCTTTCAGTCCTTCCTTACTCATCAGTAAGCTGAAGAGCACTGGTAGCTGTAAGTGCATCAGGAAGTGAAACATAAACAGTTAAGTTAGTTTTGCAATCATTTCCACTGTTCTAGTAAGAACAAAATACATATGCCAAATATAAATTGTGTAACTTCAGTGATTCCATATATGAATTAAAGGCTCTTATATTTGCATTGGAAACTGGCACCACACAATATAAATGGTAAGATTCATGTTCATAATTTAAATTTTTAATTTTTCTTTACATAGATATTCAATGGGAAATTTTTTAAACACCATGACAAACTAAAAGAATACAGGAGAAAAGAAAAAACTTTCCAGTTTAGTATATTTAGTACACTTTTTTCCTGCTTTTTGAACATGGGACCCCACAACTTATGTTGCTAGCCCTGGCTATCAGGAAAGATCCTTTATTTACTTCTACGACCCCGAGTTATAAGAACAATGTGAGCTGGAGCTGCATGTGACTATCTTGCCTGGCCAGATGGATTAAGTTATCTGTAGTAAGAGAAATCAAAGCCAGCATGCAAAGAGAAACATAGCTGAGAGAAAAAAAAGAGAGAACTAACGTTGTTGAGTTCCTGAGTGTGGCCAGACCCAAAATTAACTGCACACCTGTCCTTCTTTGTTATGTAAGTCAACAATTTCTCCTTTTTTTCTTTTTTTCTTTGAGTTGGCGGAGAGCTCAAATAATTTGAGTTGGATTTCTGTCACTTGCAACCAGAGTACTGACGGGTAGAGCCTCATATGCTAGGCATATGTGGATTAATAAGGAAGTTTTTAAATTCATACTTCTAGAGGCTGGTGAACAGAGGCTTCAGAGAGCCAAGAAGAAAAGCAATCTGGATTATTTCTAAAATCATTTTCATAATTTTAAATTATAAAATATTTTTTATTTTAAAATATGTGTAAAAGATATAAATAATATTTGTGAAATGTAGAAAAGTACCAGTAAAATGAATGTGTATACTTACTATCTGATAGAGTTTGGACGTTTCTCCCCTCCAGATCTCATACTGAATTTTAATCTCCAACGTTGGAGGTGGGGCCTGGTGGGAGGGATTTGGATCATGGGAACAGATTCCTCATGAATGGCTTGGGCCATCCCCTTGGTGCAAGTAAAGCTCTCGCTCTGAGTTCACACAAGATCTGGTCATTTAAAGGTGTGCAGCACCTCCCCTCCCACCCTCTCTTGCTCCTGATTTCGCCATGTGACATAGAAGCTCCCAACGCACCTTCTGCCATAAGTAAAAGCTTCCTGAAGCCTTACCAGAAGCCATGTTTCCTAGACAGCCTGCAGAACCACGAATCAGTTAAGCCTCTTTTCTTTATAAATTACCCAGTCTCAGGTATTTCTTCATAGCAACCCAAGAACAGCCTAATACACCACCCAACTTTAAAAAATCTACCAGTGCCTCTGATGTCCCCATAAGACTTCCCCAAATTCTACAACTGCCCACACTCACTCACCTACCCCAAAGTAACCACTATTCTGAACTTTATGATAGTTTTTCCATATCATTTGGTAGCTTTTCCTGGTGGACTGTGGAAGAAGATTTGAAGGGGGCCAGGAGACCAGCTAGGAAACACAGGATAAGTCTGAGTTTGGCTGATTATCATTAATAAGTGCTTTGTGTAGCCACCAGATCATGTTTCATTAAATAAAATGTTGGCAACAGGTAAGTTTATAAAATGGCCTTTTCATCACAGTTTTTTTTTTTTTTCAGTGCCTTTGCCTCTTTTTTTAAATCATGGGCAACTATTCAATCAGGGCAAGAATCAAAAGCCTCACCATAACAAGACCCAATAACTAGGTCACAGAAATGAGCTTTGAATTAGGGCTAGAGGACCCAGAAGGTAGCGGATTTGCTACCTGCCTCAGCATTACAGCCAGAAGAGAAGTAGAAGAGTGGGAAACAGGAAGGAAAGAAAAGGGCGAACAATCTATATCTCCTGCTACATTATCTTCTCCCAACATGTGAAAAAGCTAATAAACACACAGTATGGTGATTCTTTTTTTTTTTTTGCCAAGTTTCTTTATATATATATATTTTATTATTATACTTTAAGTTCTAGGGTACATGTGCACAACGTGCAGGTTTGTTACATATATATACATGTGCCATGTTGGTGTGCTGCACCCATTAACTCGTCATTTACATTAGGTATATCTCCTAATGCTATCCCTCCCACCTCCCCCCACCCCACAACAGGCCCCAGTGTGTGATGTTCCCCTTCCTGTGTCCATGTGTTCTCATTGTTCAATTCCCACCCATGAGTGAGAACATGCGGTGTTTGGTTTTTTTTCCCTGTGACAGTTTGCTGAGAATGATGGTTTCCAGCTTCATCCATGTCCCTACAAAGGACATGAACTCATCCTTTTTTATGGCTGCATAGTATTCCATGGTGTATATGTGCCACATTTTCTTAATCCAGTCTATCACTGTTGGACATTTGGGTTGGTTCCAAGTCTTTGCTATGTGGAAGACAGGGTGGTGATTCCTCAAGGATCTAGAACTAGAAATACCATTTGACCCAGCCTTCCCATTACTGGGTATATGCCCAAAGGAATATAAATCATGCTGATATAAAGACACATGCACACGTATGTTTATTGTGGCACTACTCACAATAGCACAGTATGGTGATTCTCACTCTATCTGTGACTGCCCTTCTCTCCATTAATTCATGTTAAATGGATCACAAGGATAAAAATGGGAATATTTAGCCCAAAGGTATTCATGTCTAAATGTAAAACTTTGTGCAGTGTGGCACTTAGTTTGGAAGTAAGTAGTTGAGTTTCCTAGAATGTAAGGGGAAACTTCCTTTCACATTCTTACATTGCTGCTGGCTCAGAAGCTAAGAACTTCTGCTCTAACAGAAAGATTACATGGACACTGTGACTACCTGGATCCTCCTTCTCACAGGAGTAGCAATTTTTCTGTGTTGTGCTGAGAGTCTGACATCCATTGTTCCAGTTTTCTCTGTTGGGTGAATTAGGGGGCTCATGATTGTTATCCACAAATGGCCTCTCACTTAGGTTCTCTGAGCACAATGGGTGTAGGTCAGGCCATAGTCCTTCAAGAAGATGGCGAGAGGAATATCACTCTGCAGGACCAACACATCTCCCACGAGGATCCCACCAATTAAACTTATGGAGAAGGGGAATAGGAAGCCCATTTTGGCCCCATATCAAAGCCACATTCTTCAGTTTTAGTCATCATAAAATTCCTATGTCTATTTCTGTGTTCTAGTCTCAGTGTCTATTTCCTGTGTCAATAGACACAGAACTCAGAGGAAAGATGGAATGGACTAACTGGCCCCTCAAAATCCCCAAACCCAACATCCCTTAAACTATGTAATTTAGTTAACTTTTTATGAGACTGCCTTGTAAATCATAGAAAAATCTCTCTCCTTATGAAGCAAGTTAAATGGTACAGTCTGTAACACCATTCTGAGGGGAAGAAAAAAATAGGTATGTAAACTTGTACTATGAAAGTCAATTTTCTCCCTAACTTATAAAGTCTTTGATAAAACAATATAATTTTTGACTGTCCTGTTTTTCTATAAACCATAGCCTCCTCGACTACAGACTTAGAATTTGTAGTGCTCTCCAGACTCCATGTAACAATCTCCAAATACTTAAATCAGCAAAACAAATTTACCCAGGAGGAACCTGGGCGCTGCCAGCATCAATTAAAAATAAGTGATGTAAAACAAATTGATGAAGGATAATTTTGATGCAACACCATTTTGGCTATATATAATGCCTTCCATACCAAAAAATAAGCAGACCTGAAAAACAACAATAAAAAAATTATCTAAGAAACAAACATTTGTTCCATTCAATAAAAACAAATTGCTTTTCTCTTATCTGAAAGGGGTCAGTCAAATACAAATACTGGCATTGAGCCACAACATTTGAATACTTCGGCACAAGTGTTTTTAAACCATTCCTTTGCATGATTTAATAAAAACTGTACTACCATTGGAAAAACAATGAAACAGAAAACTTTGCAACATACAATTGAATGATAATTAAGCTTCATTATAGTACGAATTGTTTATATGGGATTTATTCCTTAATGCCCTTGAGATTATATATTTGAAAAAGATTGGTTTTAAAATAACATGACTACAAAAGCTAGAAAATTTTCTACTTTAAAATTGTTGTCTCCAAATAAACAAGAAAAATCTGCTTCTAAATAAGTCATCTGAAATCCTTAGGTACTCAGTACTCTTCAGTACTCAGTTCCTTCCACCTCCACCAACTGCCCCCATGTTTTTCTTTTCATTAGTTCCTATTCTGATTGTTCCAACTCTTTTTCATATTGCTCAGACCTCAGTGCTGTCTCCCACCTAACTTGCAGTGATTAGCTCATTTTACTGCCACTAACAGGCTTTCATTTTCCATTCTCTCCTCCCCAAAATCTCTTTATGTCTTCATACATTCTCTTCTCCTTCCCCAGTTGTGGGTCCTTCCTGTTCCAGACTAACCTTGAGAAGCTTTTCTTTTATTCCATCTTCCACTCTGCCTATTCCCTGCCATCCTACAAAGGTGATCAGGACTTCTCCTTTCCCTTTCTGACAAACCACCTAACAGCTATTTGGATCAAGTCCAAGTCCCAAATTCATTTGCCTACCGAGGCCAGGGAGGTCATGCAAGTGAGAGAAGTGAACTGGGTTTAAAGGATAACTTCCGGGCATGGAGACTGTGTGATGAGTGGGGAGAAAGGATGTCATTCCTAAGGTGGACAACTAATTCCCTCTGGTGCCAAGAGGGTACAAAGTCCTAGTGTTGTCAGATCTCCCAGTTTTTCAAGAGAAATCAGAAATTATGTTTTACATAAAACCTCCCAATTTGTAAATGTTGATAACTAATTTTTTAAAAATCTTTGAACACTCTGTGGACCTCAATCAAAGCACATCTCTGAGGCCCGTGGTCAACCTGTCCGTTGCCGCTGCCTACCCTTGCTACCTCCGTGTCCTCAGAGTCCTACTCCTTACTTGCTTTGGAGTCCAGCTTCCAATCACACCCCCATACTGAAACCCACTGCAACCCTCTCTGGCTCCTTCTCAGTCCTTACCATCCCCAAATTGCCATAGCATTTCACATCAGTGACTGACACTCCTAAAAGTCCCCTCTCTTGGTTTCCATGACATGGTGTTTTCCTGTTTGTCTTCTTCCCTTGGAAAATGAACTCCACAGGGGAAACTTTTCAGAGGACAATGTTGTTTAAGATAAGCATCAACTGTACTTTGCCTGCAAAGGAAGAGATGTGGCAGTGTTTCTGATCCTTGGATGCACAATAAAATCATCTGGGAAGGGGGTTGGGTTTTAATTGGTCTGAGCTATATCCCAGCCTCAGGATTTTTTAAAAGCCCCTCGGGTGACTCTTAACATGCAGCAAAGTTGAGCACCACTGGTGTAGATGGTGGCTAAGTGACCACTCAAAATTGATGAGTTCCACCTAATGCAAATTGCTGCTTTCCAGGTCTGCCAGCCAGGGCAGCTCCACTGACATATTCAACGGTATTGTTGAGTGCTCTGATGTATCCTTGCCATGGGACTACAGGAAGGCAAGGGAACTGGCCAAGCCAGCACAGGTTGCTGAACTTCCTCTCTCAGATTGTATCTTGGATCATTTAAATAAACTTTTCCATGAAAGTAAAGTGTTTATTTCGCTGTAGTATAACGTGAAAACTTTCTACCACCAAGACTTTTCTTATGGCTTCTAAATGGAAACCTTGCAAATCAGTTTCCTATCTCCCTAACTCTGCATACCCTACGAACTTTACTTCTGTGTGTCCAACTGCCCTCAATTTTCCATTACTGTATAATAATGTTTTCATTCTCCCACTCATTAAAGTGGGAAATCCTGACACAATCCTTGACTCCTCCCTCTAGTTTCTCCTTTACAGATAATACTGGGTCTTCGCTCTCACACTCTTTCTGCCATCTGCCTGTGCCTTCCTATGTCCACTACCACCTTCCAACTTAAGACATTGCTGCTCCATGCCTAGCCCATGGCAGTGGTCCTCAGCAATCTCCCTGCTCCCAGCCTCTTCCTCAATCAGTTCATTGTGCTCTGTGATTGTGTGTCTTCCTTCTTACAAACCTTTCTTGCACCCTGCAGGAATAGACTTAGAGACCTACAGCCTGAGTCTGCTGAGGTACCTCACTCCATCACCCAGTGTCTCCATTAAAGACTCAGGGATGTGCTGAGCTTGTTTTGCAATAGTTTCTTGCACCTGGTAAGCAGGTGGGGCTAGAGCCAGAGTCTTCTGAACAGTCAGGCAGGTGGCCAGGAGGCTATAAAATCCCCTGAGAATGCAAGGGTAAGCTTCTACCTCCTGGCCGAATTCTCACCCACAGAAGTAGACACTGCTGCTGTTGAATCTACTTCTGTGAGTGAGAATTCAGCCAGGAGAATCCAAAGTGCTCTTCGTATGAACTTTGGGAGACCCATGCCTCCACCTGGGCAACACACCAAACAGTCTCCAGCTTTCATAGCTATCATCGGCCCTCTGTACCCAAGATGCAGAACCTACAGATCCAACCAACCATGGATCAAACATAATAATTTTTTTAAATTAAAAATAATACCCATTTTAAACTACAGTATAACATCTATGTACATAGTATTTACATTGTATTAGGTATTATACGTAATTTAGAGATGATTTGAAGTATATGAGAGAATGTTGGTAGGTTATATGCAAATACTATGCCATTTTATGCAAGGGACTTGTACAACTGTGGATTTTGGAGTCTGCAGGGGTCCTAGAACCAATCCCCCGTGGATACTGAGGGAGAACTATACTTCCAGATGGATATGTTTGTGGATCCTTTGCCTCTGAAGGACTTTTTATCATCTCGTCACATCTGCTGTCCTCTTTCTATATGGTACAACACTCTCCCAAAGTGACGGCCCCATAGATCTGCAGTACCCAACAATTAAGACCCATACTCCTTTGGGTTGGCATTCCAGGCCTTTCCAGTTTGGCTTCATAAGTCCTTCTGGCCTTGTCTCCCTCTATACCTGTATACCTACCTGATATGGTTTGGCTGTGTCCCCACCTAAATTTCATTTTGAATTCTAGCTCCTATAATTCCCATGTGTCATGGGAGGGACCTGGTGAGAGGTAACTGAATCATGAGGACAGGTCTTTCTCATGCTGTTCTCATGATAGTGATTAAGTCTCACAAGATCTAACGGTTTTACAAAGGGAAGTTCCCCTACACAAGCTCTCATGCCTACCACCATGTAAGATGTGCCTTTGCTTCTCCTTTGCCTTCCACCATGTGAGGCCTCCCCAGCCATGTGGAACTGTGAGTCCATTAAACCTCTTTCCTTTATAAATTGCCCAGTCTCCAGTATGTCTTTATTAGCAGCATGAGAACAGACTAATACACTACCATATGCTCTAATCCTAATGGGCTGCTTGCAACATTTATTAAGACCAAGAAGAATCTGAATCACTGAGATACCCCATCCAAAAAAAAAGAGTATGGCTTTTCTTATTTTCCACTTATTGAATTATAAAAACACAACATTTCTGAAGCTAGAACTCCAGTATGATGTACAATGTTGGAAGCTTTAAGGAAAATTATTCCTGTTGAGTTGAATAAGCCTGCCCATTTCTTACTTTAACATTATGATTATAATTTTACATAACACTTCATAGCACTTGACAAAGTGCTTTGCTTATATTAGCTCTTTAATCCATACAACAATCCTGTGAACATTTGCAAATTAGGAAATTGACACCCAAGGATATTATTTTGACTTTCCCAAGGTCACACACATCATACAGTAAAAACTAAATCTCTTTCAACTCTTTTGCACAAATACAGATGGTTTTCAGTCCCAGATCTTCTGATTTTGAAACCCCATTAACATTTTACTAACCAGTCATGCTTTATTTACTAATGTAAACCTCCACATTGTTCACCAAAACTCACAATGAAAATTAATAAAATAAACTACCCATCTTTGAGGATTTCAGTGCAAAAGCTATGCTTCCTTGGTGATATCATTCTCTTTTAGAGCTATAATAAGGGGCATATGCCTCTCTGTAGATCAGTGTTATTATAAACTTGATATACCAAGACTATTTGAAGACGGAGAAATGAAAGCTTGTAAAAGGCACTGGAACTGAACAAAAATGATAGTAATGAAAAGGTAGGAAGACAAACAGCATTTCAGCAATTACAATGTTCTGCACAGAAAGCTGTCCTACATCAAACATTGGCCTCTTTATGTTGTCATGCAAAAATCTAACTGCACTATTTACCTTCTATAATGCTGAAGAGAGGACCAAAAAAGCCAAGCGTTGTTTCTTTATTATTGTCATTTGCCATGGATTCCAACACTAGAAGGAAGAAGTAGAGATTATAAAGCCATAAGTATCTGCTCTGTTCTGATATTGGTAAGGATAAAGTGTGTCCAGATGGAATGTGGGGCTCGGTCAGCTGCAGTGAATGAAGGAGGCATAGGTGGAACTCTCAGGACCCCTCTCATGGCACACTTCTGGGAGGGCTCAAACAGCTCAATTTAAAAGTAGTCAAATTTGAAAACCTTTCACAGAAAATATGTACTCACTTTTTAAAAGGAACACTTCCCAAGGCTTTCACTCAGCTATAAGAATTTAACCCAAAAAGGAAATACACAGACACAGACACACACACACACACACACACACAGACTCACACACAGAATAACAATAGTTGAGACTGAGAAGAGCAGCAGAGGGGGCTAATAGTCAAAGAAGAGTTGAAAAAGATTTAATTTTTACTGTATTCTTTTGTACATTCAGGGTTTTTGTCCAATAAATGTGCATTACATATTCAAGAAGTCAATAAATACGAATTGCAGTTTTTTTAACCTATGCTTCAAATATGCATACCCTGTAACCCAGATATTTCTCTTTTAAATGTATGTACAAATAAATGCCAACAAGTTTATATAAGGATATTTGGTGCAGTAATGTCTGTAATACAAAAGATTAGATGGGATCTAATTTCTCTCCAATAGGAGAATGGTTCGATAAATTCTAGCACATCCATTCAATGTAAAACTCTGCAACCATGATAAAGAATACTATAGCCACAAACAAAATACTCAGCAAAATAAACTGTTTTACAAAAAAATTAGAATATATATACAGTATGTTACCACTTTTTGCAAAATGTGTACGTGCTTAGATGGATGGATGGATAGATAGATAGATAGATAGATAGATAGACAGACAGATAGATAGCTATAGATAGATAGGCAGGAAGACAGACAAGAAAATGTATATTTATCTACTTAGAGATATTCCAGAAGACAAAGGAAACTAGTAACAGTGGTTTAGTTGGATTTCTGAGAAACTGGTAATTTTGCGTAAGACAAAAATTTACTTTTTATTATATACCCTTTTTAATTTTAGTTTTTTTAATCTTGGTTCATATTAATTTTTTAATTCTAGAAAGATTTTTTTAGGCCAGGTATGGTGGCTTATATATGTAATCTCAACACTTTGGGAGGTTGAGGCAGAAGGATAACTGGAAGCCAGGAGTCTGAGACCAGCCTGGGCAATATAGTGAGACCCCATCTCCACAATAAAGTAAAATAAAAATTAGTCAGGCATGGTGGCACATGTCTGTGGCCCCAACTACTTGGAAGGCTGAAACAAGAGCATGCTTGAGCCCAGGCATTTGAAGTTACAGTGAGCTATGATTGCACCACTGCACTCCAGCCTTGGCAACAGAGCAAAACCTTGTCTCTAAAAATTTTTTTTAATTTAATATTTTTTTTAAATCAGTGTCTCATCACAGTGATAAAGAAAACTCACATCAGCTACCTATACTGATCAGCTTTGCTCTTTATCCATAAATCTGAACGATCAAGCATTAATAGTGTCTGTGGAGCATCAACAATCCAAAAGAAAAGGACCAACATGAGCAAGGAAAACAATTTACCCAATATGAAAGAAGACTACTTAACATTCCCAGTGATATTTGAGATGATAGATGATATCACACCCTCCAAAAAACTAAGGAAACAGAAAACTAAGTGTTCTTGGAAAGTAAAAATATGTTTAATAAATACATACATATTACATAATCAAAACAAAAAGATATCAAAAATATGAAAGAAAAGTTGAAACACAGGAGATAAATCCTCAAGAACACACATTCATCAAATAAAAGTTCTGAAAAGAAAGACCAAAAAAAGAAATGGAGATGAAATAATCAAATAAATGACTGAAGAATATCTCCCAGAACTGAAGAAAGATCTCGGTCGTCATACTGAGAGCCCCAGGGAGAACCACACAGAAGACACGAACAAATCCTTGTGAAATTAAAAATTCCAAAGACAAGCAAAAGTTCCAAAAGGCCTTCCTTGGGGTAAAACAAGCCAACAAAAAACAGGTTTCTTACACAGGAATGAGAACCACAGTGGCATCAGATCCATTTTCTATTGCACTCAACACTAGAAGATAGCCAGCAACAGCCTCAAATTTGGAGGAATTAATTTTAAATCTGAAATCCAATACTAAGGAATCCTACCAAATGTGGGGGGAAGACAGAGATATTTTCAGACATAAAACAACTGAGAAAGCTTATTTCCCCTGTACCCTCATATGTACCTAATATGGTTAGCGTACATTAAAGAAATATTGTGATTAAGCAGCTAGATACCCTTAAGATATGATATCTTTCTCATGTTAAAAAAAAAAGAAAGAAAAGAAAAAGAATTAGAAATAGCAGGAGAAAAAAATGTAGAAAAATTTGTTGACCAAAGAAACAGTGGCATGATTTTCAAAAATTGATTCGATTTTTAAAAATTAAAATCTACTTGGGTTTTATACTTAGAATGGTTTTTTTTGAATGACACAAGCTTTGCCACATTAAGATTTTATCTTCTCTACAGGTTCAATCATACAATTTGGTACTGCAGAGAATATTTATATAATCATAACATTATAAAAATTCTTTATTGATTTTCCATTTTCAGAATCAACCTATAAAAGAGAGAAGACATAAATAGAATTACCAGACAGAATATAAATCTGACATACCTTGACAATAGAAAAGTAATAACATAGCTAATGATAGTTGGGAGTTGGTTGTAGGGGAAGGGGAATTGGAAAGAAGAATAGAAGTGCTAATTTCCTCTGAGTATAGTGGGGAGAGAGGCTTTTGCCTAATGTTTGACACAGAAATAGGTAAGACAGACAAAGAAATATGTAAATAATTAAAAGCTACAAAAGTAATCAATTGAAAAGCTAAAATATAATAGCCCAAATGGGTATGGATATGTATAAGCAGGTGACATTCACCAATTTTTATGGCATGAAGTCAACTGACACTAGCCATAAAAACTCTTGATGTTTAAAGTTGACAAATGATCTCAATGAATGTTGGCACAGACTTTGCATAAAAATTAATCTTAAAACACGTTTTAGTGGCTTCCTCTGGGAAGTGAGGTTAAGTTTGTAAGGCAACAAAGTCTTTTCATTTTTATTTTATTCACATTCATACTGCCTGAATTTTTACTTCAATGTTTGTATGCATTTTTAGAATTTAAAAAGAAATGTGCTTCTTGTATAGGTGGGCTGCTTCATAAATTCTAATCAAGATATTTATGTAAGTATTCTTATTATTAATTATAACAGTAACAATGAATAATGGCTACATTTTACTGAGGGCTTTTTATGTGCTAAAGGCTTATTGAGCACTCCCATTGAATTGTCACAACGATTATGATGTAGATACTATTATCTCCTACATTTTATGCATGAGGACATTGAGACTTAGAGATTAAGTAATTTCCTAAGGTAACATAGTTAGTAAGAAGTAGGGACACTAAGGCCCAAACCTAGGTCTGTCTGACTCCAAAGGTCATGTTCACAACCACCAAACTCTACTGCCTGTTCTATCCTGTGATTTTGAACCTGCATTATGAAGACTCTTGTCTCCATCGACTATGTCAGCTCTGACAGATCTTTAGTTGAATTCACAGGTAGCTCCTTTGACCAAAGACAATTTCGAAGACAGGCCATATATATTTATATACATATCAGTTGCACTAAATGCTAGAAGATAGCAAAACAATGGCCTCAAATTCAGAGAGAAGGCCAGGCGTGGTGGCTCGTATCTGTAATCCCAGCAGTTTGGGAGGCCAGGTGGGTAGATCACCTGAGCTCAGGAGTTCGAGACCAGCCTGGCCAACATGGTGAAACCTCGTCTCTACTCAAAATACAAAAATTAGCCTGGCATGGTAACATGCACCTGTAATCCAAGCTACTCGGGAGGCTGAGGCAGGAGAATCGCTTGAACTTGGTAGGCTGAGGTTGCAGTGAGCAGAGATTGCGCCACTGAGCTCCAGTCTGGGCAATGAAGCAAGACTCCATCTCAAAAAAAACAAAACAAAACAAAACAAAACCTGCATGAAGTTTATGCCAGAAAGGGGGGAAATGGGGCTGTCTACACAATTGGGTCTCTCAAGTTGAAAAAAAAAAATCTGTCATTACTCTTTTAGGAAGTTCACAATTAGGAAAACAAAGATTAGCACTCATTTCTTCATGTAGCAAGTTACTAAGTGTCTACTTTTGGCAAATATGAATGGATTCTGATAATTCTGTCATTCAGCAAGTGTTTAGACAATACAACTGAATCACACTGCTTAGCACTGGGGATAAGAAGGCTGACACAGACTCTGCCTTTCAGGAGCTCACCATAAGCTAAGGTGTAGTTTGAGGGGTGCTTTAAACCCCAATCTCAACTAACCCCATACCTACCCTCTCTAGCATTATTTTGATTTTTCATAATTATTTTAGCATTGGGAAAACAAAACTTCAAGCCTGTACACACCCCTCCCCTTCAAATGGATTGCTGTCCCAAGCCCATCCTATATAAAAATTCAGAAACTATCATTAGAGCTTAGAGTTTGGTGGGGATGGAAAAGCAATTAAGCAAAATTATGTAATTCATTATACATGAGTGGGCAGTGAAGTCAAGAGTTCTATCAGATTATTTATGTTATTGTTATATTAAGTGGAAGAACAAGAAGTATGGGCCAAGCCATGCAATACAGTTTCAAAGTAAAGGGTAAAAAGCATCAGTCACATTTCTTGTCTTCAATATATTTTGATAAGTAATGAGCTATATTTTTACACTTCAGAAGTATTAAAAATTTCCACATTTCTCATATAAGTATGTACACCAAAATCTCTTTTGGAAATAAATATTTCTATTTACCAACTTCAAACGAGCCTCAGGATAGTATGTATTATTAAGATAAGACCAAACACATCATTTTTTCTAAATCCTTTTCATAAACTCCATGGCCAGATATTTTGCAGAAGGCTTTGCAGCTTAAAATAGAAAATATCTTCTAGAGACAACTACAGAAAGATTTTGAGATGAACAAGGTTAACCGCTCTTTTGTGGGTCATAGCACTGATGTGCTTCAGCCTCAGAGCACAGCTGAACTTTTAAAAATCACTGACTGAATCAGTTCCAATTTCTTTCTTTCCATCAGTGTCTTTAAGCTGAGTTCATTTGAGAACATTAACTTGTAGGCCCATATGGCCAATTCATTTGATAGTTCTTCCTAATTCCTTCATACCAAATATTTGTTTTGTTAGAGATGAGAAAAATGAAGTTACCCATAATAGAAGGGACACTACTAACCCAAAATCCATTCTCTCTTCCCCCTTGCTAAGAGTGCCTGTGCTGTTTGGATGTCCCCCCTCTTCTATATATCCCGGTGCTCAGGAGATGGGGGGCACACTTCCCACGCCCTGATTTCCTGTTCCTACTGCCAAGGATTTGTTCGGATGTGGGCATGGAATTTAATTCTGGATACTGTGTAGGAGATATAAGAAAGGCTCTTCTTATCAACAGAAAAAAAAAAAAGGATAATTGAAGATAAATATCCTCTGGTGCTGGATGTCATTGTGCCCATGACGATTCCCAGAGCTGTGGCAGCCATCTTGCAACCATGTGGGGAAACTAAGTCAACAAGTCTAGGATAGCAAAACAGAAAAATGCAAAGAATTTAGGGGTCTGCTAGTAATGAGCAACTGAATCAATCTGGGGCTGTTCCACATTCAGACTTCCTGTTGTGTTCGATAATAAATCTTCCTCATTGCTGAAGTTATTCTGAGTCAGGGCTTCCTGTCACTAAGCTAAACTCATCCAAACTGATACATATAGATTAGTTCTCTCTGTTACCCCTTTCTTCTTCTACCCAACCAACATTTTAAATATTCTTAACATAATTTCATTGTCACTGACTTTTTTTAATAGATAGAGGTTAGCTTTCCTCGGTGGTAGATGTAAATTTATCTTCATGTTTTACATTTTACCTTGGGAATCTACTATAAGAAAGTGTCCTTATCAAAGATACTTGGTTACTATACCTATAGGGAACAAATTATATTTTTAAGGCCATAGAAAAATCAGTATGAGACTATAGTGTTTTATGATAGCCAAACACGTTCATTTTAACCAAAGATCCTTTTTCCCTATTTAAAATAAAGAGAAAGAAAAAAATGAGTTATAGGTGGAAGCTTTCTAATTCTTATCTCAATTTTTTTTCATAAACTTTCATTACAGCAACTCCTTGAAGCCTGACTGTTTGGCTTTCACAGCTTAATTTCTTAGCTTTGAGTTAACATTATTCCCTTAATCTCACTAATCCCCTAAGGAAGATGAACATAATGGTGAACTTCATATAAAAACATTCTATTAAATTTTCAAATGATTAAATTGTATACATAAAAATAAATAGGAATGACATTGAATTTATATAACTTCCTGCCAAAATTTCTAAATTTTATGCCATCTTTTCATCAATACCACTTCTGAATGTCTCTCTGTGTGAACTTTATCAAGACAAATGTCAGAATTCATAAAATCAACTAGAGTAATTGAAAGGCCTGTGTTAATTACAAATCATAACACAAGTCAAGGTTAATTACAATTAGACTTTATATATTTTGCTTGAGAACGCTAGGCTTATTTAGGCTGGATCATATTAAAATAAAAATGAAATGCTTATGTATGAAATATATAACAGTATATTATAGTTGCAGGGGGTTTAGGGGGCACCACTACCTAACACTATTTAAACATTACATATTCATCTCAAAAGTAACAAAAATAAGCAGTTCGAATATAAATTATTCTAAGGACTTTTTTGCTCTTAAATGAAAAAGTAAGGGCAATAATCTCTTAAGCATCCCTGGGCAATAGCTATTTTTAAAAATTCGAACTGCGAAAAAGCTGAGATGTCAACATTCATTTCTGAAGTTTAGAGCCAATTTTGTCACACAAGTGCCTTACTGATTTTTTTGTCCCTGTGTTATGCTCTAAGGGGAGTTCTCCAGAACAAAACCTTAAGTTAAGTTCAAAAGCAAATTATTCAGAACCCACCCTCTCATGTTTTTAGTGTCTTTCTAGCTCCTTGTAATGAAGAATTTGGGAGATGAGATTAGGACTTTTAGAGATAACTATGAAGATATGATAAAGAACAGTCTTACACAGGCTAGAAAGTGGGCATGAGATCTCTAAAGTACAAAATTAGCAGACAGCCTAATATGAAACTGAATGGAGCTATTCCTTAAGTTAAAAAAGAAACTATTTTCTTTAAGGACAATTTGAATGAATTTTGATAACTGTACTTCAGCTATGCAAAATGTAAACATCTGGAGGATCCAGGTGGAGGGTACCTAAACAGTAATAAAAAACAGAAAAAGCCCAGGACCAGATAGATTCACAGCCAAATTCTACCAGATGTATAAGGAAGAGCTGGTATCATTCCTATTGAAACTATTTCAAAAAACTGAGGAGGAGGCACTCCTTCCTAACTCACTATATGAGGCCAGCATCATCCTGATACCAAAATCTGGCAGAGACACAACAAAACAAGAAAACTTCAGGCCAACATCCTTGACGAACAGCAATGCAAAAATTCTCAACAAAATAGCAAACTGGCTAGGCACAGTAGCTCATGCCTGTAATCCCAGCACTTTGGGAGGCCAAGGCAGGAGGATTGCTTGAGCCCAGGATTTTGAGACCAGCCTGTGCAACATGGCTAAACACCGTCTTTACAAAAAATAGAAAAATTAGCTGGGTGTGATGGTGTGTGCCGGTAGTCCCAGCTACTCAGGAGGCCGAGAGAGAAAGATTGCCTGAGCCTGGGGTGAGCCATGATCATACCACTGCACTCCAGCTTGGGTGACAGAGTGAGACCCTGTCCCCAAAAAACAAAACAACAACAAAAAATACTAGCAAACCAAGTTCAGCAGAACAGCTACTTTGCCAGAACGTGACCAGACTGCTTCTCTAAGTGGGACCCGGGTTCATTTCTCCTCACTGAGCAGGACCTCCCAGCCCTGACCTCCAGCCACTGCCCCACCTGTATTCTATAGACAGAGCTCTGATCTCTCCCTGGGAGGAGTGCAGGAGGAGGAGCAGGCTGCTACCTTGGTTGTTTGGAGGACTCAGCCTTCCCAGTCTGCAGGATTTGGAGAGTCCAAGCCAACAGAGGCAGAGGCAGTTCCCCAGCATGACACAGCTGTTTTGTTAAGGTGTGGCCAGACTGCTTCTTTGAGTGGGTCTCCGATGACTCCTCCTCACAGAGCAGGTCCTCCCAATCAGGGCCTCCAGCCACTTCCACCCATGTTCTATGGCCACCAGAGGTCTAATTTCTCCCTGGGATGGAGTGCCCGGAAAGCAGGGCAGGCCACTACCTTAGCTGTTTGAGCACCTCAGCCAGTCCAACCTGTGGGCCTTGGAGAACCCAAACTGATCAAGGGCTGAACAGACCCTGAAAACAGCACATTTGCTCTATCTAAAAGCAGCCAGACTGCTTCTTTGGGCAGGTCCCTAATCCAGTTCCTCCTGACTGGATGAGATCTCCCAAGGTCTCCAGATACCTCCTACAGGTGTGTGGGCCAGCAACAGGTCAGTACCCCCCTGGGACAGAGCTTCCAGAGGAAGTGGCAGGCTGCCATATTTGCTGTTTCACAGCCTTCGCTGGTGATACCTCCAGGTATGGGAAAAGACAAGGTGACTACAGTCTGGAGCGGACCCCCAGCAAACCACAGCAGCCCTACAGAAGAGTGGCCAGACTGTTAAAAGAAAAGCAAACAAACAGAAAACAACAACAAAACACACACACACACAAAAAAAACTCCATCCAAAGGTCAGCAACTTCAAAGATCAAAACTAGATGATAAGGCCGCAAAAGAATCAACTCAAAAACTTGAAAACTCAAAAAGCCAGAGTGCCCCCTTTCCCCCAAATGACTGCAATACCTCTCCAGCAAGGGCTCAGAACTAGGCTGAAATGACAGAAGTAGGCTTCGAAATGTGGACAAAAATGAACTTTTCTGAGCTAAAGGAACACGTTGTAACCCAATGCAAAGAAGCTAAGAATTATGATAAATAATGCAGGAGCTGACAGCCAAATGCCAGTTTAGATAGGAAAAGAACTGACCTGATAGATCTGAAAAACACACAAGAACTTTTCAATGCAATCACAAGTATTAATAGCAGAATAGACCAAGCAGAGGAAAGAACCTCAGAGCTTGAAGACTATCTTTCTGAAATAAGACAGGCAGACAACTATAGGCAAAAAAGAATGAAAAGAGGCCGGGCGTTGTGGCTCACACCTGTAATCCCAGCACTTTGGGAGGCCGAGGTGGGTGGATCACAAGGTCAGGAGATCGAGAACATCCTGGCTAACACGATGAAACCCCATCTCTACTAAAAATACAAAAAAATTAGCCAGGCATGGTGGCAGGCACCTGTAGTCCCAGCTACTCGGGAGGCTGAGGCAGGAGAATGGCGGGAACCCAGGAGGCAGAGCTTGCAGTCAGCCGAGATTGTGCCACTGCACTCCAGCCTGGGTGACAGAGCAAGATTTCAGCCTGGGCGACAGAGCGAGACTTCAGCCTGGGCGACAGAGCGACACTCCATCTCAAAAAAAAAAAAAAAAAAAAAAGAATGAAAAGAAATGAACAAAACCTCCAAGAAATATGGGATCATGTAAAGAGACTGAATCTATGACTGATTGGAGTACCTAAAAGAGACAGGAAGAATGGAACCAAGTTGTAAAACATACTTCAGGATATCATCCAGGATAACTTCCCCAACCTGGCAAAACAGGCCAACATTCAAATTTACGAAATGCAGAGAACCCCAGTAAGATGCTCTACAAGATCATTCCCAAGACACATAATCACCACATTCTCCAAGGTCAAAATGAAAGAAAAACTGTTAAGGGCAGCCACAGAGAAAGGCCAGGTCACCCTCAAAGGGAAGCCCATCAGACTAACAGTGGACCTCTCAGCAGAAACCCTACAAGCCAGAAGAGATTGAGGGCCAATATTCAACATTCTTAAAGAAAACAATTTCCAACCTAGAATTTCATATCTGGACAACCTAAGCTTCATAAGCAAAGGAGAAACAAGATCCTTTTCAGACAAGCAAATGCTGAGGGAATTCATTACCACTAGACCTGCCTTACAAGAGCTCCTGAAGGAAGCACTAAATATGGAAGGGAAAAATCATTCCCAACCACTACAAAAACACAATGAAGTACACAGACCAGTGACACTATGAAGCAACCACATAAACAAGTTTGCAAAATAACCAGCTAGCATCGTGATGACAGGATCAAAACCACACATAACAATTCTAATCTTAAATCTAAATGGGTTTAATCCCCCAATTAAAAGACACAGAATGGAAGGAATCATAGCCAGAAAAATGGCAGATAGGAGACAGGACTAACCTGCAGCTCCCGCTTGGACAGACAGAACTGTGGAGGGGCATGTGGAGACTCACATTGTGAACTTTTGCTCCAAGAACCACTGCAGGAACATACCAGAGAAACTGAAAAAATTCACAGCCCCTTTGAAAGCAGTGGCTTGCTGCTGCAAACTCCGTTAGCCAAAAAACTGTGAGTTCCCAAAGTAGAAGAGGGGAAATGGCTGCCTCCAAATATAATCCCCACTGGGGAACCTAAAAATCCAGATCACGAGAGAAGAATTTAACCTTACCTAGAGCTGACATGGATTTAGGGAGCCAAGCGAAATATAAAAGTAGAAGAAGCAGTGGAAAGAGGCCTGCAGGCAGTCTTGGTCCCCAGCTCGAACCCAGTGAAGCCATCCCTTGCCTTATCTCACAGGGACCCTCAGGAAAGGCCACCAGTAGAATTGGGGAGGGGCCACAGGGTGAAGGAAGCTCCTAGCTGAACTTTGCAATAATTTCAACTAAGCATGAATTTTTCTGAGCAGGACCCAGGAGGCAAACTGGAAGTGCAGATATGAGCACAGAAGCCACAGCCAAAGGTGCAGGCAGGTGGAGAAGGGTGGGGCCTAAGAGCCCTGCTTCCTTTCTCAGCCAGAAGGCTTATAATCTAGGGCAAGATCTCAGCCATGCTGACCAGCTGCCCAGGTATGAACTTGGTGCTGTTCGTAGGGCATGGTGTGACTGAGACTGGCCTTGCTGGCTTCATGGCAGCTGAGAAAGGCCTCTCACTGCCAGCTTTCCCCTACTTCCCTGGTGACCTGCATGACATAGCAGAGCCAGCCATAATCCCGTGGAAACATAACTCTACTGGCCTGAAAACCACCTCCCATCCCCCACAGTGGCCACAGCAAGCCCTACCTAAGGAGAGTCAGAGCTCAGACCTGCCTAACTCTGATCCCACTATGGTTTTTTTGCTACCAATCCTGGTAGCCAAAGACAAAAGACATAAACTCTTGGGAGCTCTATGGCCCCACCCATCACCTGAGAAACCCAGGTACTTAACCTGGTTAATGAAGGACAAGAAGATATCCCCCTTCTACTACTGCAGCTGGTGTTGTCCTGAAAGCACCAACTCCTGGCTGGAGGTCAACAAACTCAGGCCATTACAGCAACTCATAACAGAACAACCCTGCTCCAAAGGAGAAAACAAGAGCTAATTCCACCACCTGCAACACCCTGACTAACCAGACGTCCTGAATCTGTCCATGTGACAACTTCACTGCTAGCATAACCAGCATTTGAGAAAACCAGGGCACTAAACAAAACTACAACCAAGGACTCCCACAGAGTCCACTTCACTCCCCTACCACCCCCACTGGAGCAGGTGCTGGTATCCATGGCTGAATGACCTGAAGACAGATCACATCACAGGATTCTTTGCATACATTCCCTGGCACCAGCCTGGAGCCCAGTAGCCCCGATGAATGGCTAGACCCAGAAGGGCAAAAGCAAACTCCCTCACTGAAGTCTGGCTCTCAGGAAGCCTTATCTCTGGGGGAAGGGGGAGAGCACCCCATCAAAGGATCACTCTGTGGGACAAAAGAATCTGAACAGCAGCCCTTGAGTTCCATATCTTTCCCCTGAAACAGTCTACCCAAGTGAGATGGAACCAGAAAAGTAATTCTGGTAATATGAGAAAACAAGGTTCTATGACACCCGCAAAAGATCATACTAGCTCTCCAGCAATGGATCTAAACCAAGAAGAAATCTCTGAATTGCCAGATAAAAAATTCAGAAGGTTGACTATTAAGCTATTCAAGGAGGTACCAGAGAAAGATGAAAAACAACTTAAAGAAATTTTTAAAACAATACAAGATATGCATTAAAAAGTCTCCAGAGAAATAAATGTCATAAAGAAGACAACCACAAGTTCTAGAAATGAAAGACAAACTTAGAGAAATGCAAAATACACTGGAAAGTTAACAGAATCAAATAAGTAGAAGAAAGAACTTCCTAGCTGAAACACAAGGCTTTCGAATTAACCCAACCTGACAAAGACAAAGAAAAAATAATTTAAAAAATGAACAAAGCCTCCAAGAAATTTGGGATTATGTTAAATTACCAAACATAAGAATAATTGGTGTTCCTGAGGAAGAAGAGAAATATAAACGTTTGGAAAAATTATTTGAGGGACTACTCAAGGAAAAATTTTCTGGTCTGGCTAGAGATCTAGACATCCAAACACAAGATGTTCAAAGAACACCCAGGAAATTCATTGCAAAAAGATCATCACCTAGGCACATAATCGTTAGGTTATCTAAAGTCAAGATGAAGGAAAGAATCTTAAGAGCTATGGGGCAAATGCAACAGGTAACCTATAAAGGAAAACCTATCAGATTAACAGCAGATTTCTCAGCAAAACCCTACAAGCCAGAAGGGATTGGGGTCCTATCTTTAGCCTCCTGAAACAAAATAATTACCAGCCAAGAATTTTCTATCCAATGTAACTAAGCTTCATAAATGAAGGAGAGATAAAAATACTTTTCAGACAAACAAATGCTGACAGAATTCTTGACTACCAAGCCAGCACTACAAGAAATGCCAAAAGGGGTTTTAAATATTGAAACAAAACCTTGAAATACACCAAATTCGAACCTCCTCAAAGCATAAATCTCACAGAGCCTATAAAACAACAACACAAGATTAAAAAACAACAACAACAAGGTATTCAACTAGCATGATGAATAGAACAGTACATCACACCTCAATACTAATATTGAATGTAAATGACCTAATTGCTCCACTTAAAAGATGCAGAATGGCAGAATGGATAAAAACCCACCAACCAAGTATCTGCGTTCTTCAAGAGACTCACCTAACACATAAGGACACACATAAATTTAAGGTAAAGGGGTTAAAAAAAGATAGAAAATACAGTATATGCAAATAGAAACCAAAAGTGAGCAGATGTAGCTATTCTTATGTCAGACAAAACAGACTTCAAAGCAACAACAGTTTAAAAAGACAAAGAGGGATGTTATATAATGATAAAAGGATTAGTCCAACAGGAAAATATCACAATCCTAAATATACGTATAACTAATACTGGAGCTCCCAAATTCATAAAACAATTACTGCTAGAACTAAGAAATAAGATAGACAGCACCACAATAATATTGGTGGACCTCAATACTTCACTGACAACATTGAGAGGTCATCAAAACAGAAAGTCAACAAAGAAACTATGAACTTAAACTATACCCTAGAACAAATGGACTTAACAGATATTTATAGAACATTCTATCCAGCAAGTGCAGAATATATGTTCTTTTCATCAGCACATGGGATACTCGCCAAGACAGACCATATGATAGGCCACAAAACAAGGCAATAAATTTTAAAAAATTGAAATTATATCAAGTACTCTCTCAGATCATAGTGGAATAAAATTGGAAATTAACTCCAAAAGGAATCCTCAAAACTATACAAATACATGGGAATTAAATAATCTGCTCCTGAATGAACTTTGGGTCAACAATGAAATCAAGATGGCAATTTAAAAATTATTTGAGATGAATGATAATAGTGACACAACCTACCAAAACCACTGGGATACAGTAAAAGCAATACTAAAAGGAAAGTTCATAGCATTAAATGCCTATATCAAAAAGTCTTAAAGAGCACAAACAGACAATCTAAGTTCCAACCTCAAGGAACTAGAGAAACAAGAACAAATAAAATCCAAACCCAGCAGAAGAAAAGAAATAACCAAGGCCAGAGCAGAATTAAATGAAATTGAAAAAAGTATATAAAAGATAAATGAAACAAAAAGCTGATTCTTTGAAAAGATAAATCAATAGACCAAAAGAAGAGAAAAGGTCCAATTAACCTCAATTAGAAATGAAACAGAAGATATTACAGCCAATACCACAGAAATACAAAAGATCATTCAAAGCTACTACAAACACCTTTATGTGCACAAATGAGAAAACCTAGAGGAGATGGATAAATTCATGGAAATATACAACCCTTCTAGATTAAACCAGGAAGAAATAGAAACCCTGAACAGGCCAATGACAAGTAGCAAGATTGAAACAGTAATTTTAAAATTGCCAACAAAAAATATCCAGGACCAGATGGATTCAAAGCTGAATTCTACCAGACATTCAAAGAAGAATTGGTTCCAATCCTACTGATACTATTCCAAAAGATATAGAAATAAGGAATCCTCCTAAATCATTCTATGAAGCCCGTATTACCATAAATCAAAAACAAGAAAGGACATAACAAATAAAAGAAAACTATAGGCCAATTTCCCTGATAAACATAGATGCAAAAATCCTTAGCAAAACACTAGCTAACTGAATCCAAAATCATATCAAAAAGATAATACACCATGATCAAATAGATTTCCTATCAAGGATTCAGGGTCGGTTTAACATATCCAAGTCAATAAATATGATACATCACATAAACAGAATTAAAAACAAAAATTACATTATCATCTTAATATATGTAGGAAAAGCATTTGACAAAATCCAACATCTTTATGATTAAAAGCCTCAGCTAAATTGGCATAGAAGGGACATACCTTGAGGTAATAAAAGCTATCTATGACAAACACACAGCCAACATTATACTGAAAGGGGAAAAGTTGAAAGCATTCCCCCTGAGAACTGGACCAAGCCAAGGATGCCCACTTTCACCATTTCTATTCGACATAGTACTGGAAGTCCTAGCCAGAGCAATCAGACAAGAGAAAGAAACAAAGGGCATTAAATCAGTAAAAAGGAAGTCAAACTGTCGCTGCTCACTGATAATATGATTGTATACCTAGAAAACACTAAAGCTCCTAGATCTGAAAAATAAATTCAGTAAAGTTTGAGGATACAAAGTCAATGTACACGAACCAGTAGTATTGCTACACTCTAACAGTGACCAAGCTGAGAATCAAATCAAGAACTCAACCCCTTTTACAACAGCTGCAAAAAATAATAATAATAAAATACTTAGGAATATAGCTAACCAAGGAGGTGAAAGACCTCTACAAGAACTACAAAACACTGCTGAAATAAATCATAGAAGACACAAACAAATGGAAACACAACCCATGCTCATGCTCATGGATGGGTAGAATCAATTGGGAAAATGACCATATTGCCAAAAGCGATCTATAATTTCAATGCAATTTTCAACAAAATAACATCATCATTCTTCACAGAACTAGAAAAATCAATCCTAAAATTCATATGGAACAAAAAAAGAGCCCACATATCCAAAACAAGACTGAGAAAAAAAGTACAAATCTGGAGGCATCACATTACCAGACTTCAAACTATACTACAAGGTTATAGTTATCAAAACAGCATGGTGCTTGTATGAAAACAGGCATGTAGACCAGTGGACCAGATTAGAGAACACAGAAATAGAGCCAAATACAGTTAACTGATCTTTGACAAAGCAAATAAAAACCATAAAGTGGGGAAAGGGCACCCTACTCAACAAATGGTGCTAAGATAATTGGCAAGGCACATAGAGAAGCATGAAACTGGATTCTCATCTCTCACCTTATAAAAACATCAACTCAAGATGGATCAAAAACTTACATCTAACCTGAAACCATAAAAATTCTAGAAGATAACATCAGAAAAACTCTTGTAGACATTGATTTAGGCAAAGAGTTTATGACCAAGAACCCAAAAGCAAATGCCACAAAAACAAAAATAAATATTAATAGATGGGACTTAATTAATCTAAAAAGCTTCTGCACAGCAAAAGAAATAATCAGTGGAGTAAACAGACAACCCAAAGAGAGGGAGAAAATATTCACAAACTATGCATCCAAACAAGGACTATATCTAGAATCTCAAGGAACTCAAACAAATCAGCAAGGAAAAAAAACAGAAAATCCCATCAAAAAGTGGACTAAGACATGAATAGACAATTCTCAAAAGAAGATATACAAATGGCAAACAAACATGAAAAAATACACAACATCACTAATTATCAGGGAAATGCAAATCAAAACCACAATGTAAAACCACCTTACTCTTACAAGAACGGCCATAATTAGAAAATCAAAAAATAATAGCTGTTGGTGTGAATGTGGTGAAAAGAGAACACTTTTACACTGCTGCTGGTAATGTAAACTAGTACAACCACTATGGAAAACAGTATGGAAATTCCTTAAAGAATTAAAAGTAGGACTATCATTTGATCCAGCAGTCCCACTACTGGGTATCTACCCAGAGGAAAAGAAGTCATTATATGAAAAAGCAACTTGTACATGCATATTTATAGCAGCACAATTTGCCATTACAAAACTATGGAACCAGCTTTAATACCTGTCAACCAAGGAGTGGATAAAGAACGTGGCATATATACACCATGGAATACTACTCAGACACTAAAAAAGCAATGAAATAATGGCATTAGCAGCAACCTGGATGGGGGTGGAGACCATTATTCTAAGTGAAGTGACTCAAAAATGGAAAACCAAACATCCTATGTTCTCACTTATAAGTGGGAGCTAAGCTATGAGAACACAAAGGCATAAGAATAATATAATGGACTCTGGGGACTCGGGGGGAAGTGTGGGAGGGGGAGAGGAATAAAAGACTACACGTTAAGTGCAATGTACCATGCTCAAGTGATAAGCACACCAAAATCTCAAAAATCACCACTAAAAAACTTATCCATGTAAAACAAACACCACCTCTTCCCGAAAAACTATTGAAATAATAAGATAAAAAATTTAAAAAGACACAGAATGGCAAGCTGGATAAAGAGCCAAGGCCCATTGTTATGTTGTCTTCAAGTGACCCATCTCACATGCAAAGGCACACATAGGTTCAAAATAAAGAAAAGGAGGAAAATATACCAAGCAAACTAAAAACAAAAAAAGCAGGGGTTGCAATCCTAGTTTCTGACAAAACAGACTTTAAACCAACAAAGATCAAAAAAGACAAAGGGCATTACATAATGACAAAGGGTTCAATTCAATAAGAAGAGCTAACTATAATAAATATGTATTAACCCAACACAGGAGCACCCAAATTCATAAAGCAAGTGCTTAGAGACCTACAAAGAGACTTAGACTCCCACACAATAATAGTGGGAGACTTTAACACCCCACTGACAATATTAGACAGATCATTGAGACAGAAAATTAACAAAGATATTCTAGACCTGAACTCAGTGCTGGATCAAGTGGACCTGATAGATATCTACCGAACTCTCTACTCAAATTCAACAGAATATATATTCTTCTCATCACTAAATGGCATTTATTCTAAAATTGATCACATAATCGGAAGTAAAACACTCCTCAGCAAATGCAAAAGAACTGAAATCATAACAGTTCTCAGACCACAGCAAGCAAATTAGAACTCAAGATTAAGAAATTCACTCAAAACCATACAACCACATGGAAATTGAACAACCTGCTCCTGAATGACTTTTAGGTAAGTAATAAAATTAAGGCAGAAATCAATAAGTTATTTTAAACTAATGAGAACAAAGATACAATGTATCAGAATCTGGGACACAGGCAAAGCAGCATTAAGAGGGAAATTTATAGTATTAAATGCCCACATCAAAAAGTTAGAATGACCTCAAATGAACAACCTAACATCATAATTAAAAGAACCAGAGAACCAAGAGCAAACAAACCCCAAAGCTAACAGAAGACAAGAAATAGCCAAGATCAGAGCTGAACTGAAGGAGGTGAGGACATGAAAAACCCACTGAAAAATCAACAAATCCAAGAGCTGGACTTTTGAAAAAAATAATAAAATAGATAGACTGCTAGCTAGACCAATATAGAAGAACAAAGAGAAGATTCAAACAAACACAATCAAAAATGATAAGGGGGTTATCACCACTGACCCCACAGAAATACAAACAACCATCAGAGAATACTATAAGCAACTCTATGCACATAAAGTAGAAAATCTAGAAGAAATGAATAAATTCCTGGACACATACACCATCTCAAGACTGAATCAGGAAGAAATCATATCCCTCAATAGGCCAACAACAGTTCTGAAATGAGGCAGTAATAAATAGCCTACCAACCAAAAAAAGCCCAGGACCAGATGAATTCACAGCTGAATTCTACCAGAGGTACAAAGAAAAGCTGCTACCATTTCTACTGAAACTATTCCAAAAAATCAAGGAGGAGGGTCTCCTCCTTCACTCAATCTATGAGGCCAGCATCACCCTGATTCTGAAACCTGGCAGAGATACAACAAAAAAAAAGAAAACTTCAGGCCAATATCCTTGATTGTACATTGACACAAAAATCCTCAACAAAATACTGGCGAACTGAATCCAGCAGCACATCAAAAAGCTTATCCACCACGATCAAGTAGGCTTCATCCCTGGAATGCAAGTCTGATTCAACATATGCAAATCAATAAATGTGATTCATCACATAAACAGAACTAAAGACAAAAACCACATGATTATCTCAATACACACAGAAAAGCCCTTTGATAAAATTCAACATCCCTTCATGTTAACAACTCTCAATAAACTAGGTATTGAAGGAACATACTTCAAAATTATAAGAGCCATCTGTGACAAACCCATAGCCAATATCATACTGAATGGGCAAAAGCTGGAAGCACTCCCCTTGAAAACCAGCACAAGACAAGGATCCCCTCTCTCACCACTCCTATCCAACATAGTATTGGAAGTTCTAGCCAGGGCAATTAGACAAGAGAAAGAAATAAAGGGTATTCAAATAGGAAGAGAGGAAGTCAAAATATCTTTGTTTGCAGATGACATGATGTTATATCTGGAAAACCCCATCAACTCAGCCCAAAAGCTTCTTAAATTGATAAGCAACTTCAGCAAAGTCTCAGCAACTTCAATAAAGTCTCAGGGTACAAAATCAATGTGCAAAAATCACTAGCATTCCCAAACACCAACAACAGGCAAATCAAGAGTCAAATGACAAATGAACTCCCATTCACAAAAAGAATAAGATATGTAGGAATTCAGCTAACAAGGGAAGTGAAGGACCTCTTCAAGAAGAACGACAAACCCCTGCTCAAAGAAATCAGAGAGGACACAAACAAACAGAAAAGCATTCCATGCACATGGATAGGAAGAATCAATATCAATGAAAATGGCCATAATGCTCAAAGCAGTTTATAGACTCAATGCTGTTCCCATTAAAGTACCATTGACATTCTTCACAGAATTAGAAAAAAACTATTTTAAAATTTATATGTGTGATGGTTAATATTGAATGTCAACTTTATTGGATTGAAGGATGCAAAGTATTGTCCCTGGGTGTGTCTGTGAGGGTGTTGCCAAAGGAGATTAACATTTGAGTCAGTGCACTAGGAGAGGCAGACTCACCCTCAATCTGGGTGGGCACCATCTAATCAGCTGCCAGTGCAGATAGGATCAAAGCAAGCAGAGGAACATGGAAGGGCTAGACTGGCTAAGTCTTCTGGCCTCCATCTTTCTCCATTACTGGATGCTACCTGCCCTCGAACATCAGACTCCAAGTCTTCAGCTTTTGGACTCTTGGACCTACACCAGGGGCTCTCAGACCTTCAGCCACAGACTAAAGGCTGCACTGTCGGCTTCCCTATTTTTGAGGTTTTGGGACTCAAACTGGCTTCCTTGCTCATTAGCTTGCAGACAGCTTACTGTGGAACTTCATCTTCTGATCATGTGAGTCAATATTCCTTAATAAACTCCATTTCATATATATATATAATTACATATATAATATATATTATATATTATATATAATATATATTATATATTATATATAATATATAATATATATTATATATAATATATAATATATATTATATATAATATATATATGAATTATATATATATATATATATATCCTATTAGTCCTATCCCTCTAGAGAACCCTGACTAATACAATATGGAACCAAAAAAGAGCTTGAATATCCAAGGCAACCCTAAGCAAAAAGAACAAAGCTGGAAACATCACGCTACCCGACTTTGAACTATACTACAGGGCTACAGTCACCAAAACTCCATGGTCCACATACAAAAACAGACATATAGGCCAATTGAACAGAATAGAGAACCCAGAAATATGACTGCACACCTACAACCATCTGATCTTCAACAAACCTGACAAAAACAAGCAATGGGGAAAGGATTCCCTATCTAATAAATGGTGCTGGGAGAACTGGCTAGGCATATACAGAAAATTGAAACTGGACTCCTTCCTTATACCATATACAAAAATTAACTTAAGATGGATTAAAGAATTAAATGTAAAACCCAAAACTATAAAAACCCTAGAGGAAAACCTAGGCAATAACATTCAGGACATAGGCATGGGCAAAGATTTCATGACAAAGACACCAAAAGCAATTGCAACAAAAGCAAAACTTGACAAATGAGATCTAAGTAAACTAAAGAGCTTCTGCACAGCAAAAGAAACTATCAACAGAGTAAATAAACCTACAGAATGGGAGAAAACCCTAGAGAATGGGAGAAAAATTTTGCAATCTCTCCATCTGACAAAGGTCTAATAGCCAGCATTTATAAGGAACTTAAACAAATGTACAAGAAAAAAACAAATGACTCCATTAAAAAGTGGGCAAAGGACAAGAATAGACACTTCTCAAAAGAAGACATATACATACCTAACAAACATATGAAAAAAAGCTCAAGATCACTGATCATTCAAGAAATGCAAATCAAAATCACAATGAGATACCATCTCACATCAGTCAGAATGGGTATTATTAAAAAGTCAAAAAACAACAGGTGCTGGCAAGGCTGTGGAGAAAAAGGAATGCTTTTACACGTTGGTATGAGTGTAAATCTGTTTAACCATTGAGGACGTCAGCGTGGCGATTCCTCAAAGATTTAGAACAAGAAATACCATTTGACCCAACAATTCCATTGCTGGGTATACATCCAAAGGAATAAAAATCATTCTATTATAAAGATATATGCACACATATGTTCATTGCTGCATTAGTCACAATAGCAAAGACATGGAATGAACCTAAATGCCTATCGATATTAGACTGGATAATGAAAACGCAGTACATGTACTCTACGGAATACTATGCAGCCATAAAAAGGAATGAGATCATGTCCTTTGCAGAGACATGGATGGAGCTAGAGGCCATTATCCTTAGCAAATGAATGCAGGAACAGAAAACCAAATACCATGTGTTCTCCCTTATACCATGTGTTCTCCCTTACAAATGATGAGAACACATGGACACGTGGCGGGGAACAACACACAGTGGGGCTTGTCAGAGGGTTGTGTGTGGGAGGGAGAGCATCAGTATGAATAGCTAATGAATGCTGGGCTTAATACCTGGGTAATGGGATGATCTGTGCAGCAAACCACCACAGCACACATTTACCTATATAACAAATCTGCACATCCTGCACAGGTACCCCTGAACTTCAAAGTTGGACTTTTAAGAAAAAAAAAAGAGACAGAAAGAGAGAGAGAAAATTTCTAGCTAAAAAAAAAATTACTATTTTGACATGAGAAATCAATTCAATTACCTAAAAAAAAAAAATTTATTTTCTCAACAGGGTCATAGTATAGTTAAAATGGTTACTGTGCTGGAAAAAAAGCTTCTGCAAGTGGTCAGTGGCCTCAATTCTCTTCTTGGTTCTCCATAGTCTTTAAAGATATCAATAAATAGATATATTTTTGTTTTCATATAGCTGAGTTCCACGTAAAATAAATATTTAAAAATCCCATGGAGATAAGCCTGAGTTTGGTTATTTGAAATCTTATTTAATACATTGCTCTTTTACTTGGTAGTTTATCAATTCCTGTCAAATTACTGCATAACATTTCAACACCTGTGATTCCTTAAAAATGATTACAGACTGGAGCAGTGACTCTTGCCTGTAATTCTAACACTTCAGGAGGCCAAGGTGGGCAGATCACTTGAGCCTGGGAGTTCAAGACCAGCCTGGCAACATGGTGAGACCCTATCTCTGTGAAAAAAAAAAAATTGCTAGGTATAGTGGTATGACCTGTAGTCCCAGCTTCCCAGGAGGCTGAGGTAGGAGGATCACCACCTGAGCCTGAAAACTTGAGGCTGCAATGAGCCATGATTGTGCCACTGCACTTCAGCCTGGGCAAAGGAATGAGATTCTGTCTAAATAAATAAACAAATAAATAAATGGGGGATTCCTGGGCAAGATGGCCAAATAGGAACAGCTCCAGTCTGCAGCTCCCAGCGAGACCAACGCAGAAGGCAGGTGATTTCTGCATTTCCAACTGAGGTACCCAGCTCATCACATTGGGACTGGTTAGACAGTGGGTGCAGCCCACAGAGGGCGAGCAGAAGCAGGGTGGGGCGTTGCCTCACCCAGGAAGTGCAAGGGGTTGGGGAACTCCCTCCCCAACCCAAGGGAAGCCATGAGGGACTGTGCCATGAGGAATGGTGCACCCCGGCCCAGTTACTACGCTTTTCACATGGTCTTTGAAACCCACAGACCAGGAGATTCCCTTGGGTGCCTACACCACCAGAGCCCTGGGTTTCAAGCACAAAACTGGGCGACAGTTTGGGCAAACACTGAGTTATTTGCAGCTTTTTTTCGTACCCCAGTGACGCCTGGAACACCAGCAAGACAGAGCCATTCACTCCCCTGGAAAGGGGGTGAAGCCAGGGAGCTAACTGGTCTGGCTCAGCAGATCTGACCCCCATGGAGCCCAGCAAGCTAAGATCCACTGGCTTGAAATTCTCGCTGCCAGCACAGCAGTCTGAAGTCGACCTGGAACGCTCGAGATTGGTGGGGAGAGGGGCGTTCACCATTACTGAGGCTTGATTAGGCGGTTTTCTCCTCACAGTGTAAACAAAGCCGCCAGGAAGTTCAGACTGGGCGGAGCCCACCACAGCGCCACAGAGCTGCTGTAGCCAGACTGCCTCTCTAGATTCCACCTCTCTGGGCAGGACATCTCTGAAAGAAAGGCAGCAGCCCCAGTCAGGGGCTTAAAGATAAAACTCCCATCTCACTGGGACAGAGCAGCTGGGGTAAGGGGCAGCTGTGGGTGTAGCTTCAGCAGACTTAAACATTCCTGCCTGCTGGCTCTGAAGAGAGCAGCAGATCTCCCAGCACAGCACTCAAGCTCTGCTAAGGGACAGACTGCCTCCTCAAGTGGGTCCCTGACCCCTATGCCTCCTGATGGGGAGACACCTCCCAGCGGGGGTCAACAGACACATCATACAGGAGAGTTCCCACTTGCATCTGGCAGGACAAAGCTCCCAGACAAAGTAGCAGGCAGCAATCTTTGATGTTCTGCAGGCTCTGCTGGTGACACCCAGGTAAACAGGGTCTGGAGTGGACACCCAGCAATCTCCAGCAGACCTGCAGGAAAGGGGCCTGACTGTTGGAAGGAAAACTAACAAACAGAAAGCAATAGCATCAACATCGACAAAAAGGATGACCACACAAAGACACCATCCAAATGTCACCAACAGCAAAGACCAAAGGTAATTAGATCCATGAAGATGAGGAAAAACCAGCACAAAAACTGAAAATTCCAAAAACCAGAATGCCTCTTCTCCTCCAAAGGATCACAACTCCTTGCCAGCAAGGGAAAAAAACTGGTTGGGGAATGAGTTTGATGAATTGATAGAAGTAGCCTTCAGAAGGTGGGTAATAACAAACTGCTCCAAGATAAAGGAGCATATTCTAACCCAATGCAAGGAAGCTAAGAACGTTGATAAAAGGTTAGAGTGATTGCTAACTAGAATAAACAGTTTAGAGAAAAACATAAATGACCTGATGGAGCTGAAAAACACAGCACAAGAACTTTGTGAAGCATACGCAAGTATCAATAACCAAATCGATCAAGCAGAAGAAACGATATCAGAGATTGAAGATCAACTTAATGAAATAAATCATGAAGACAAGATTAGAGAAAAAAGAATGAAAAGGAACGAACACAGCCTCCAAGAAACACAGGACTATGTGAAAAGACCAAACATACATTTGATTGGTATACCTGAAAATGACAGGGAGAATGGAACCAAGTTGGAAAACACTCTTCAGGGTATTACCCAGGAGAACTTCCCCAACCTAGCAAGACAGGCCAACATTCAAATTCAGGAAATACACAGAACACCACAAAGATACTCCTCAAGAAGAGCAACCCCAAGACACATAATTGTCAGATTCACCAAGGTTGAAATGAAGGAAAAAATGTTAAGGTCAGCCAGAGAGAAAAATCAGGTAACCCACAAAGGGAAGCCCATTAGACTAACAGCAAATCTCTCTGCAGGAATCCTACAAGTCAGAAGAGAGTGGCGGCCAATATTCAATATTCTTTAAAAAAAGAATTTTCAACCCAGAATTTCATATCCAGCCAAACTAAGCTTCATAAGTGAAAGAGAAATAAAATTCTTCACAGACAAGCAAATGCTGAGGGATTTTGTCACCACCAGGCATGCCTTACAAGAGCTCCTGAAGGAAGCACTAAATATGGAAAGGAAAAAATGGTACCAGCCACTGTAAAAACAAACCAAAATGCAAAGACCATTGACACTATGAAAAAACTGCATCAACTACTGGGCAAAATAACGAGCTAACATCATAATGACAGGATCTAATTCACACATAACAATATTAACCTTAAATGTAAATGGGCTAAATGCCCAACTTAAAAGGCACAGACTGGCAAATTGGATGAAGAGTCAAGACCTATCTGTGTGCTGTATTCAGGAGACCCATCTCACATGCAAAGACACTCATAGAATCAAAATAAAGGGACAGATGAAGATTTACCAAGCAAATAGAAAGCAGGAAAAAAGCAGGGGTTGCAATCCTAGTCTCTGATAAAACAGACTTTAGACCAACAAAGATCAAAACAGACAAAGAAGGGCATTACATAATGGTAAAGGGATCAATGCAACAAGAAGAGCTATCTTAAATATATATGCACCCAATACAGGGGCATCCAGATTCATAAAGCAAGTTCTTAGAGACCTACAAAGAGACATAGACTCCCGCACAATAATAGTGGGAGACTTTGACACCCCACTGTCAATATTAGACAGAACAATGAGACAGAAAATTAACAAAGATATTCAGGACTCAAACTCAGCTCTGGACCAAGCAGACCTAATAAACATCTACAGAACTCTCCACCCCAAATCAACAGAATATACATTGTTCTCAGCACCACACTGCGCTTATTATAAAATCAACCACATAACTGGAAGTAAAACACTCCTCAGCAAATGCAAAAGAACGGAAATCATAACAAACAGTCTCTCAGACCACAGTGCGACGAAATTAAAACTCAGGATTAAGAAACTCACTCAGAACCACACAACTACATAGAAACTGAACAACCTGCTCCTGAATGACTACTGGGTAAATAACAAAATTAAGGCAGAATTACGTAAGTTCTTTGAAACCAATGAGAACAAAGACACAGCGTACCAGGATCTCTGGGAAACAGCTAAGGCAGTGTTTAGAGGGAAATTTATAGCACTAAATGCCCACAGGAGAAAGTGGGAAAGATCTAAAATCAACACCCTAACATCACAATTAAAAGAACTAGAGAAGCAAGAGCAAACAAATTCAAAAGCTAGCAGAAGACAAAAAATAACTAAGATCAGAGCAGAACTGAAGGAGAGAGGGACATGAAAAACCCTCCAAAAAATCAGTGAATCCAGGAGCTGGTTTTTTGAAAAGATGAACAAAATAGATAGACCACTAGCCACACTAATAAAGAAAAAAAGATAGAAAAATCAAATAGACACAATAAAAAAATGATAAAGGGGATATCACCACTGATCCCACAGAAATACAAACTATCATCAGAGAATACTATAAACACCTCTATGTAAATAAACTAGAAAATCTAGAAGAAATGGATAAATTCCTGGACACATACACCCTCCCAAGACTAAACTGGGAAGAAGTCAAATCACTGAATAGACCAATAACAAGTTCTGAAATTGAGGCAGTAATTAATAGCCTACCAACCAAAAAAAGCCCAGAACCAGACGGATTCACAGCCAATTTCTACCAGAGGTACAAAGACGAGCTGGTACCATTTCTTCTGAAATTATTCCAAACAATGGAAAAAGAGGGACCCTCCCTAACTCATTTTATGAGGCCAGCATCATCCTGATACCAAAACCTGGCAAAGATACAACAACAACAACAACCTTTTAGGCCGATATCCCTGATGAACATCGATGCGAAAATCCTCAATAAAATACCGGCAAACCGAATTCAGCAGCACATTTAAAAGTGTATCCACCACAATCAAATAGGCTTCATCCCTAGGATGCAAGGCTAGTTCAACATATGCAAATCAATAAACATAATCCATCATATAAACAGAACCAATGAGAAAAACCACATGATTATCTCAATAGATGCAGAAAAGGCCTTTGATAAAATTCAATATTCCTTCATGCTAAAAACAATAAACTAGGTATTGATAGAACATATCTCAAAATAATAACAGCTATTATAACAAACCCACAGCCAATATCATATTGAATGGGCAAAAGCTGGAAGCATTCCCTTTGAAAACCAGCACAAGACAAGGATGCCCTCTCTCACCACTCCTATTCAACATAGTATTGGAAGTTCTGGCCAGGGCAATCAGGTAGGAGAAAGAAATAAAGGGTATTCAAATAGGAAGAGAGGAAGTCAAATTATCTCTGTTTGCAGATGACATGAATGTATATTTAGAAAACCCCATCGTCTCAGCCAAAAAGCTGCTTAAGCTGATAAGCAACTTCAGCAGTCTCAGCATACAAAATCAATGTCCAAAAATCACAAGCATTCCTGTACACCAATAACAGACAAATAGAGAGCCAAATCATGAGCAAACTCCCACTCACAATTGCTACAAAGAGAATAAAATAACTAGGAATACAACTTACAAGGGATGTGAAGGACCTCTTCAAGGAGAACTACAAACCACTGCTCAAGGAAATAAGAGAGGACACAAATGGAAAAACATTCCATGCTCATGGATAGGAAGAATCAATATCATGAAAATGTCCATACTGCCCAAAGTAATCTATAGATTCAATGCTATGCCTGTCAAGCTACCATTGACTTTCTTCACAGAATTAGAAAAAACTACTTTAAATTTCATGTGGAACCAAAAAAGAGCTTGTCTAGCCAAGACAATCCTAAGCAAGAAGAACAAAACTGGAGGCATCACACTACCTGACTTCAAACTATACTACAAAGCTAAAGTAATCAAAACAGCATGGTACTGGTACGAAAACAGATATATAGACCAATGGAACAGAACAGAGGCATCAGAAATAACACCACACACCTACAACCGTCTGATCTTTGACAAATCTGAAAAAAAACAAGCAATAGGGAAAGGATTCCCTATTTAATAAATGGTGTTGGGAAAACTGGCTAGCATATGCAGAAAACTGAAACTGGACCCCTTCCTTATACCTTATACAAAAATTAACTCAAGATGGATTAACGATTTAAACGTAAGACCTAAAACCATAAAAAACACCCTAGGAAAAAAACCTAGGACATAGGCATGGGCAAAGACTTCATCACTAAAACACCAAAAGCAATGGCAACAAAAGCCAAAATTGACAAATAGGATCTAATTAAACTAAAGAGCTTCTGCACAGCAAAAGAAGCTATCATCAGAGTGAACAGACAACCTACAGACTGGGAGAAAAATTTTGCAATCTATCCATCTGACAAAGGGCCAATATCCAGAATCTACAAGGAACTTAAACAAATTCACAAGAAAAAAACAAACAATCCCATCAAAAAGTAGGCAAAAGATATGAACAGATGCTTTGCAAAAGAAGACATTTATGCAGCCAACAAACATATGAAAAAAAACTCATCATCACTGGTCATTAGAGAAATACAAATCAAAATCACAATGAGATACCACCCCACACCAGTTAGAATGGCAATCATTAAAAAGTCAGGAAACAACAGATGCTGGAGAGGATGTGGAGAAATAGGAATGCTTTTACACTGTTTGTGGGATTGTAAATTAGTTCAACCATTGTGGAAGACAGTGTGGTGATTCCTCAGGGATCTAGAACTAGAAATACCATTTGACCCAGCAATCCCATTACTGGGCATATACCCAAAGGATTATAAATCATTCTACTATAAAGACACATGCACACATATGTTTATTGCAGTACTACTAGCAATAGCAAAGACTTGGAACCAACCCAAATGCCCATCAATGTTAGACTGGCTAAAGAAAATGTGGCACATATATACCACGGAATACTATGCAGCCATGAAGAAGAATGAGTTCGTGTCCTTTGCAGGGACATGAATGAAGCTGGAAACCATCATTCTCAGCAAACTAACACAGGAACAGAAAACCAAACACTGCATGTTCTCACTTACATGTCGGAGTTGAACAATGAGAACATATGGGCACAGGGAGGGGACTATCACACACTGGGGCCTGGCAGGGGGTAGGGGGCAAGGGGAGGGATAGCATTAGGAGAAATACCTAATGTAGATGACCGTTTGATGGGTTCAGCAAACCACCATGGCACATGTATACTTATGTAACAAACCTGCACGTTCTGCACATGTAACCCAGAACTTAAAGTATAATTTAAAAAGAAAAGAAAAATAAATAAATAAAATAAATCACAAAAGCTACCACAGTGGCTCCTGCCTGTAATCCCAACACTCTGGGAGGCTGAGGTGGGAGTTTTGCTTGAGGCCAGGAGTTTGAGATCAGCCTAGGCAAATATAGCCAGACCTGGTCTCTACAAAACATTTTTTTATATTAGCCAGGCATGGTGATCCATGTCTGTAGTCCCAACTACTTGTGAGTCTAAGGAAGGAGGATTCCTTGGGCCCAGGAGTTTGAGGTTGCAGTGAGCTCCTATCAAACCATTGCACTTCAGAGCAACAGAGCAAGCCTCTGTCTCTAACAAATAAATAAATAAAATCACAACCTTATAGAACTAAAATGGCCTATAATTATAGACTCATAGACTCTCAGAGCTCAAAATGACACTAGAGATCATCCTATACTACCAGGAATGTGAAATGACTTACATAAGGCTACACAGCACAACCAACATATCATACCACCCAACACATCACACCACACAACACAACACACTTGCCAACTGCAATGTGGGAATTTAGGACGGATTACAAAAAAAGATATTATTGTAACAATTGAAAAAAATTAAATATGGAATGTCTACTACATGATATTACATCGTTATGATTAATTTCTTAGGTATAGTAAAGTATTTCCATCATATTTATTCCTAGATGATGCATGTTCAATTATATGGGACTTTACAACTCATTACTAATTTTCACATGGCACAGCACATGTGTATGTATGTATTAATATATGCAAGGGAGACATGAAAATATGACAGGACATTAACAATTTTTTTTAGATGGAAGACACATGGATATTCAAATTTTCTATATGTTTGAATATACACAGTAGCACTGTACTTCTCTAAAAGCCACAATGGCTCTCACAAAGATTGTACGAGGGGCTTTGTTTTGAACCTAATTGACTCTTTGTAAACATACAGTTCTTAATGAAGTTTTTCTGTTTTTCTAGAGTACAACAGATTAGAAGCAGAAAAATAAGAAAAGATAAATGGATGTTGGAGACAATCACAGTTCATTCAACGAACAAGTATAAAGTGTCTGCTGGACTGGGGAAGCATCAACAGCCAAAATACAATCCCAGCCTTGAAGGAGTCCACAGTGCAGATGGTGGCAGAGACACCCAAACAACCATAATGATAACTAAACACCTAATTGAGAGATAGAAGAATAAGCAGTTGATACAACTGTATTAACATCCAATACAATAAAGCTTACAGGGATGGTCTTAAGTCATAAGGAAAAGGTCAAGTTTTGTTTCATAAACTTTTGGAAAGTTAAGGAAATTAACATATTTTATAAGTATTAGCTAAAATATTGTTATATTTAAAGGTTTAAAGCTTACAGAGAAATATTTTTACACATTAAGAAACTTATCTGAATAGGAATACTCAATATTGTTAAAATGTTAGTTCTTCCTAACATACATTCAGCACAATCCCAATCAAAATCCCAACAACTTATTTTGTGTATCAACAAACATGTAAACTAAAGTTTAAATGAAAAGACAAAAGACTACAAAAACCAATACTGAAAAAGAACAAAGTTGGAGGACTGACACTACCTGACTCTGAGACTTACTATAAAGCTACAATAATCAAAACAGTGTGGTATTTGTACAAGAACAGACAAATAGATCATGGGAACAGAACACAGACCCCAAAAATAGACCCACACAAATAGAGTCAACTGATATTAAACTAAATAGCAAAAGATAATTCAATGGAGAAAGGATAGTCTTTTCAATAAATGGTGCTGTAACAACTGGACATCCACATGCATAAAAAAAATGAAGCCAGACACAGACCTTACAACCTCACAAAAATTAACTTAGAATGGATCATAGAGCTAAATGTAAAATTCAAAACTATAAAACTCTTAGAAATAAAAATTGGAGAAACTCTAGATGACATTTTGTATGGTAATAATTTTTTAGATAAACGCCAAAAGCATAATCAATGAAACAAAAAATTGGTAAGTTGGGCTTCATGAAAATTAAAAACTCTGCTCTACAAAAGAAACTATTGAGAGAATGAAAAACAAGCCACAGATTGAGAGAAAATATTTGCAAAACATATCCAATAAGAGACTTGTATCAAAATCTACAAAGAACTCAATACTCAACAAGAAAACAAACAACTTTATTACAAAATGGCCAATATATCTGAACAGAGCACCTCACTAAAAAAGATATACATATGGTAAATAAATATATGCAAAGATGTTCAACATGATATGTTACTAGGGAATTGTAAATTAAAATAACAGTGGGATAGGCCGGGTGTGGTGGCTCACGCCTGTAATCCCAGCACTTTGGGAGGCCGAGGTGGGTGGATCATGAGGTCAGGAGTTCAAGACCAGGCTGGCCAAGATGGTGAAACCCTGTCTCCACAAAAATTAGCCAGGTGCAGTGGCAGGCGCCTGTAATCCCAACTACTCGAGAGGCTGAGGCAGGAGAATCACTTGAACTTGGTGGGTGGAGGTTGCAGTAAGCCAAGATCACACCACTGCACTCCAGCCTGGGTGACACAGTGAGACTCTGTCTCAAAAAAATAAAATAAAATAAAATAAAATAAAATAAAATAAAAAATAACAGTAGGATACTACCACATACCTATTAGAATGGTGAAAATCCAAAAAAACTAACAGTATCAAATGCTGGCAGGGATGTGGAACAATATCTCATTCATTGATGGTGGGAATGCAAAATGGTACAGCCACTTTGGAAGATAGCTTGGCAGTTTCTTAACAAAGCTGAAACCTCATCTTACCAATACAATTCACCAATTGCACAACTAGGTATTTACCCAAGTAAGTTGAAAACTCAAGTCCACACAAAAACCTGCCCACAAATGTTTATAGTAGCTTTACTCATAATTGCAAAAAAACTGAAAGCAACTAAGATGTCCTTCAAAAGGCAAATGGATAAATAAACTGTGGTATATCCATATAACGGAGTATTATTCAGCAATAAAAAGAAATGAGCTATCAAGCCACTTAAAGACATAAAGTAATCTTAAACTCATGTTCCCTAGTGAAAAGAAACCATCTGAAAAGGCTACCAAACTATACATATACTATACTATATGATTCATCTATAGAAGGTGTTGGGGTTCAATCAGGCTGGTGGGAAAAATATTAAATATAGTTATAGTAGTAGTCAAAAACTCTCAGGCCTTTAAAGATAGTTATAGTAATAGTCAAAAACTCTCAGGCCTTCCAAGAGAGTTTTTGACTATTACTATAACTATCTTTAATATTTTTCCCACCAACCTAATTGAACCCCAACAAGAAGACACTCTGAAATAGCCAAAAGGATAGTGACAATGAAAAGATCGATGGTTGCCAAAACTTTGGAACAGGGGAGTGGGTAACAGATGAATAGGTGGAGCACAGGGGATTCTTAGAGCACTGGAACTATTCTGTAGGGCACTGTAATGGTGGATACAGAACAGTGTACACTTGTCAAAACCCATAGAATGTACAGCACAAAGAGTAAACCCTAAACTCTGAACTTCATTTAATAACAAGGTATCAGTATCAGTTTGATACTAACAAGTGTTAGTGTACAACAGTAACAAGTGTACCCAGGGAAACTGAAACGTAGGTGAGAGGAAATATGTGGGAACTCTCTGTACTATCTGCTCAAATTCCTGTAAACCTAAAACTGCTCTAAAAAAATAAAGTATTAATTTAAAGAAATTATCTTATGTATAATGCTCATTTTCCCCAAATGCCAAACAACAAGGCTCTACTGGAATAAGCAGCTGTTGCTCACTGTTAAGTCTTTATCTACACTAAACTGGCTTTTTATAAATTGTCAGTCACTTTCAGATACGCTCAAATAATGACCACATAAATTACGGGTAGGCTCTGGGCAGGGTTTTTAAAAGTGTGGTCCTCAAACCACCTACACCAAAATCATTTGGATGCTTGTTAAAAATCATATCCCTACTAAATCAAAACCTCAAAAGGCAACCAATCTGCATTTTTAACAAGTTCACTGGGGATCATGATGCACAATGCATGTGAGAAGCACTGCATTAATAACATATAAGGATACTTAAGGAATACTCCTTTTATCTTACTGCTTATAAAAAGCAAACAATTAAAACATACCAGCTGCTCAGTAATTGAGAACAGGTTTTTCTTCATCTCCTTCACACAAAATGACAGTCAGTGACTTATTTGGCAATTTCAGGAATCTCAGCCATAAGGACTAAATTCTCCAGAAGCCCTTTATTATCTCACACTATGTTAAAGAAATGCTGTTTTTTCAAGAAAGAAATAACTGGATGGTGAAGACGAGAATGATGCTTATGGCCCTTTTGTATCTTTTTTCATTGAAGTCTTATGAATCACACTTTTAATAAAAGATTAAAGAAGACATTTCTGATGCTTTATCATTTACTATTACCTAAATTGAATAAACATTTTTCAATAAAATTTTCACATGACATTGTCAATTCCTTTTTCCCTCTAAGAAAATTACTTTCTATGAAATCGTTTTGGTCTTGACCTTTTCAAGAAGATATAATTTTCCTGCATTTCTATCAAAGAAGGTCACAGTGTCAGAACACAGGGCAGCCTCACAGCAATGCCCTAGAACAATCACAGAATGGACCTGAACAATCCCAGTTATCATCATTTCTTTCAGGCTCTCTACCTTGTCCTTTTGTGATCATGGCAATTTAACTTTAAGCTGTATGGTATTGTTATTAGCTCAATTTATCTCACAGTCAAACTTCAAGCAATCTTTACTATTCAGTACATAGCAGACATGTGTCTTTCAAATTGTTGCCTCATATTCCTGCCTCCTTTCCCTCCAACCATCACATTTATAGGCCTTCCTTAGTGAAAATGATCTAGTATTCATCATTTATACTATAATCTAAGGCAGTGCTGCTCACATTTGAGTGTGCATCAGAATCACCTGGAGGGCTTGTTAAACTGTAGATTGCCGGGCCCACCTCCAGAGTTTCTGATTCAATGGGTCTGGGATGGGGCCTGAGAATTTGCATTTCTAATGTGTTCCCAGATGATGATTATGATGGTGGTCCAGGGACCACACTTTAAGAACCACTGATATAGGTAATTTGCCATCTTTCTTCTGATGCTTTTTCCAGATAATGTTGTGTGTTTTAATTTATATAAATTGCTCCGTGACTCATCAGAGTGAAAATCCTAATTATTAATAACAACTTCTAGACGGTGTATTAGAAACTATGCAAACTGACAACTGATGCAAATTGACAACTGCTTTTGACAGCAGCAGGGCCGCCACACAATTTATTTTCTATTTTCCCACAGAAGACTATGAAACAAAAATTTCAAGTGAGCACCTGAGAACCCTAGCCTTTTACTAACCAAATCTTAACCAGTTGAGTCACTCATCTGTCTCTAGCTTAAGCACTTCCACTCAATTTCTACTTGCCTGCCTTGTCGTCTCAGCTGATCTGTTGGACTTGGTCCCAGTCCATGAAGACCTGCCTCTTTCCACCAGGAGCCCGTGCTCCCTACCACTCTGCAGAAGCTGACCCGCCTTTTTAGGGTCGAGTCATGGGTCGTCTCCATCTTGGCTCCCTGAGGATGAGGCGCTTCTGCCTAACTTCTTCCAGGGCTCCCAGACTTCTCTTCCTCTTGGCTGCCTCCCCTGGTGTGTTCTGGAGAAGAATATTCACTCTCTTGACAAAGGAATTTAAAGAGTGCCAGAGCTGAGGGGGGCCAGGGCCACATTGGGAACTGAGTACTTGAAAGTGCCCCCTCGGCGGATGGCAGGAAAAGGGGAGCATTCACACACAGGGGTATACTGTTGAAGAAATGCCAAGTCCTGCTTTCTTTGATTCTCTTTGAGTGTTTCTTCAAATAAGGTGCCCAGCAGAATGGCTTCTTACCTTCGTATAAGAATGGCACATTCTGCTGAAAGATGTTGCGCCAGGAAGATGGAGATAAAATCCTGAGGAAACCAAGCAACGAGAAAGCCAGGCAACTTCACCAGCAGAGGGCGCCAGACCACCAGCGGCGCCTCACAGGAAGTCCGGGTCTGTAACCACTGGTAACTCTGGGGACAATGAAGGGAGGGGACACTGGATTATTATTATTGTTCCCATGTTATTTATTAAACCTCATGGCCAGAACACTAACAAGCATTGTATAAAAAAAGAGCACAGGACTTGGAGTCTGAAAAGCCAGATTCTAGCATTTTGTAGCTTTTTGGCTTGGCCAAACACCCAGAGCCTCCATTTATTTTCTTACCTATGAAATAGAAGGAAAAAATAATAATCGTAGCAATGGTGTGTGGCTTATCAACTTCACAGGTTTGCTATGAAGGCTGATAAATAAAAGGGAAAAAAAGATCTATAAGCACAAACCTTAGTTATTTCTGGGGTTGTGAACTCAAAAGAAGTATATTAATCTTAAAGGGCAACTCACTCCTCATGCCACAGAATCCGGATGCCTTATCACGTACTTCGGAAAGATACTTATGTTCCAGCCTGCACAGATAGTAGGGATTTGTGGAGTAGGGAGTCCATTCAGAGAGGCACCAAATCCCACTGGGTAATTAATGGTACACGCCATTCCACCCCAATCTCGGGTACTTAAGTGAGGCCGGCAACAGAGAAGATTCTTCACAGTGTGAAGAATCCAGGGGGAAAGATCTAATAGAAAAACCAAATCCAGGGCTGTCCTTCTAAAACAATTACTGGAAAATTGCAGAACCAGTCTGCCCCAGGGAACCTCAGGAAAAATATTACTTCGATTGTGTGATTGCATCTTTCACAGAGCATGCAAGAGCACTGCCGGGCACTGCAAGGCAGAAGCTAAGAGCTCCAGTAGTTATATTATGCCTTTGTGGGATTGCTATGCTTAGCTTATATTGAAAGCAGCACAAAATTAAAATGCCAAAATTAAAAATCACAAATTCTGAACTCAACTACAGGACAGAGTTCCAGGTGATTTCATTCTATTTTCATGTGATGGGCTATTAATTGCAATCACTGCACAGAATTTTTATTTAGGACAGCTAAGGTTTCTCTTGCCTCCAAGCCCCAACCAACGTAGTCCTCTCTGCTGGAGAAATTTCTCTAACCAATCTTCCTGTCATTTGCCTCGTGGGCTCGTTCAAATTGACACCTGAGAGTTAATTTACACCTTCCTGTTTTACAAAAACAATCTAGAAGGTACCTAGCGATCTATCTCATTTGAATTAAAACACTAAATTTCAGTTTTCAGTCTTATATGGATTATATAAATGGGAACCCTTGGGGAGAAGCCCAGATGAACTAGGAAAATTTTACTGTCCTTTCAATTATTTTTTCAACACATCTGTGCTGGTTACTTTTAAATCTACCTCTATCTCTTCTTTAAAATCCAGCTAACAAACAAGTCATTATAAATAGTGCCTTTTTAGAGAAGGAAAACATGTCACCTCTCAATTCTGCTACAAGGAAGTCGTTAATGTAGGTTACTGAATTAGAACAATCTCTGGAGTAGTCATGTCTTTTCTGGTCCTTAGGAATGGGTCTAGGGAACTCTTTAAATTGTAACTATTATGTATTGCAATTTTTTAAAGCTAACATGTATTTATTTTAAGCTCAACATAGCTTTATTTTGGATCTACATAGTAGTGTGCCAAGTAGTGTGACATTGCTTGTTCCCTCCCTTCTGGGGATATGGCAGTACCATGCCTGCTCCTGTGAAGTTGGGCAGGGCCAAGTGAAATGCTTTAGACAAGGACATGAGAGAGGAAGTCCATGTGTCACTTCCCATCAGAAGCCTTGGAAAGCCCATGCCTGATTGACCCTGTTCCCTCACCCTGTCAGAGGGTCCGGCAATGTACCATATGTTGGAGGCTCCAACAGCCTGATCCTAGGGAAATCCTGAATCAGAGACACCTCCAAGTTGGACACGCAGTTTAGACAAATGACAAGCAATAAGTCTTTGCTATCTCAAGCCACTGAGATATTAGGGTTGCTTATACCACAGCATAATCCAGCCTACCCTACTGATGCCACATCAGAAATTCTTGCCTCAACAATGTTCCATGACCCAGACCTCTGTAACTGGTAGAGGTCAGGGAAGGGGTCAAGGGGCAGAGCTGTAAAGGGATATATGACCCAGATCATAGGTCAGAAGGGATATAGTTTTTGAAATATGGTGGGAAATTGTAGAAAGAGCCAGGCTTTCAGAGCGAACACAGCTCAGCATTCAAAATTTGGCTCTGAAACCACCCTTAATTACACAGACAAGTTCCTTAAACTCTCTCAATCTCAGTTTCCTCCACCATAAAATAGGAATAATAATACCTTTCTTAAATGAGCACCTACAAGCAAAATACCTTTCACATAATTTCTCAAACTGTAGCTGCTATTTTTATCATCCATTCTTATAGAAGAGAATCTGACAATGGGCAGCACAAAAGCAGAATAAACATTTTCACTTGTTCACCTTGGAAAAAGGTTATGCTAAGCCTTGCCACTTATATTTTTTGGTTAAACAACAAGCCCTGGTACGGGAAATACAAATTTTTTTAATAGCAGTACTGGCATCTTACGAATGCAGAAAGTAATAAACATATAGATGTTAAGTATACAGAAAGTCAATGATAGAGAGGGATTTATTTATTTACTCAATTTATGAAATCGTGACCTTGAAACTCTTATGCAAAAAAAAGCCGTTAATCCCAATTTGTAAAGTATATGAAACTAGCAACAGGAGTTGTAATATAGATAAAAGACAACACAAGAAGAATTAGAATCGCTTTTAAAGCAACATTTGTCTGCTCCTTTCTCATTAAGCCTGTTTTAAAAGGTGAGGCATATTCCCGACCCTAAGAATTAAAATTCCTCACCCCAATCAGTCTGGTTTTGTACATTGAGATATATTGCCTTTCTCACAAGCTCTAAAAGATTTTATAAACCCTGAGGTAAGCAGAGATGAATTTCTTAATAAAAATTCAATTTGTAGGGTTTAGATATTATTTACTTCTTGATTGTAGAGTAATTTGTGAGCCTTACCCAACGTGGCTACATAACTTCTTCCTCTGGCAATGGGAGTGAAATTGATTGAATCTTTTCACAGAATAACATGAGTTGACCCAAATTTTTTTCTCTCAAGTCACATATATTACCCTGCTATTTACTTTCTGTCAAAATAATCCTAGCATGCCAGCCACCAGGCAAAACATCGATGTTTATCTAAGAATTTTCATCTTTGCTTAGTAAATGATTCTGTTGGGTGACAGATTCCTCTGCTCACCAAATCTATTAAAAAAAAAAAAAAAAAGTAACTCAGGCTTGTCCATTTGTTTCACCTTTGTCAAAAATTTCCTGAAACAAGTCCTTGCTTTTCATTTGTGCTAAAGACTCCTTTCTTATTTGCGCTTCCAGAGCTATTAGTTTTCTGTAGTCATCACTCAGGACTTAATTATACCCTTAAAGCCATAAAACTTCCATACACCAGCCACACCACGTGCCTGCCTCCTGGTACACAGGCCAGTTGGAGGCCCCAGCTCTTTGGACTCAGCTGCATTTCATGGAGCACTGGCAAGGCAAGATGGTCCATATGGACACTGCAGTGCAGGACTTTCAGACCCCAGAGAAAAATAAATCCCATTATGTTCTCCCTGACTTGATCCGTTGAGATCATAAATACATGGACAGAGCCCCTCTTTCCAGGGAGGAAGTCATTGCTGGAATGGGAAGCTGAACACGTGAGGATCGGCAATGGAATTCCCAGTGAGTTGTGCCTCCTGAATGACCTCTCTAACCAACTGTTAATCATTCAGCCAAACTTCAACTGGGGAAAAAGTAGTAATAAAATTAAATCACTCAAATCACATAGCACATTTTAGGATAATTTCAAGCAGAACCCACAAGCCCAATAACATGCAGAGGATATTTCAAAGTCGAAAACCATATTTAATTCTCTCTGGGGCCAAGGCAGGGACACAGTAAAGGAGACATCTAACCGAAACTGCACAGAAGCCTCCAGTGCTTCAGGCTGGAAGTCACCAAACACTATATGGAAGCTGGCTGGGGAGTCTGCATTTCCTGAGGGCCACATGCTGGGAGTCTGGTTGTAATCATCATTATTATTGATCAGAACTGAACCTTGGTTGATGGTGTATGAAGTAGTATAATGATGTGAGCTTTTGGTGTGCAAACATACACAGTTCATTGACTTTACTCGCAAATCTCCACAGAGTGCTCATCAAACGGTATAGGAGCTGCCCCAGAAAGGAGTATCCATCCAAAATAGTCAGTTACAAGATAAACCAAAAAGATAGTGGCCAGAGAAAGGAATTCCAAAATGACAGATATGTGTTACAAGTTCAGAAAAGCAGAGAAAATAAGAAACAGAAGCATAAAGCTGAGGTTAAAAAGGCTTCTCTCTCGAAGGCCTTTCCCACAAAGCAGTTGCTCAGAAAGCACAAATTGCCATAAAGGCAGCTTCTAAGAAGACAGTCAATAAGAAGGCTTTACTCAAAATGCTGAAGACCAGAGCTGCAGGCATTTTGGGACCCAGCCTAGATTATAGGTCAGAAAGACCAGGCTGAGAAGCCTCTGGTAAGAAATAATAAAAGTTTTTGATAACATGCCATCCAGATAAAATTGTGCCTCCTCCTGCTTGAGGACCAGCTGCACTCCAGAGCTACTTTTAAAAATAAACAAAAGCCTAACCCTGGATCGTTATTAAAGATTTCCATGAAGGGGGGCTGGTTGGGCAGCAGCAGAGGTATAGATTATAATACAAAACACACAGTAAAACTTTCTAAAATCCTCCTGACTTCTCTCTGCCCCCACCCTGCCCCTCCCACCCCAGAGTCCTCCCTCTTGGCACAGCTGCACCTATTCTCATTCTCTGTCTCTGAAAATATTCTGGCATCACCTGGCTGGATGTCTCACTAACCTGTCAGCATCTTCCTTTAGGCCTCAGATAGTTTCAGGCTGTTTCTTAAGTGCAATCACCAGTCCTCCGTGGCTTCTTCAGTTTTTGTCTTCAACCATTTCCCTAACTGAATACAGGCATCCTGCGAGGAAGAATCCCCACTCCTGATAAGACAGAAGAGAGGAAAAGTTTATACCAATTGCCCTTTGAATATTACTTTTCCTTTGTAAACACACACACACACACACACACACACACGTGTACACCTACAGACACATACATCACAATAGGCTATATGAAGAAGACAAAGTCATTAAAGTATTCAGTATGAACTGACACTCCTCATGACAAGACTCATTCACTCCTGTGCTCTCATCAGAACTTTGGTCACTGTTTGACAGTATTAGTTTCATATTGTTGCTGAGACAAACTAGACAAACTTAGTGGCCTAAGGCAACGCAAATTTATTATCTTACAGTTCTGAAGGTCAGAAGTCTGAAAAGAATTCTAGGGCTAAGATTAAGGTATTGGCAGAGTTTGTTCTTTCTGAAAGTTCCAGGAGAGAAATCTGTTCCTTGTTTCTTCTAACTTCTAGAGGCTGTGGGCTTTTCCCGGCTGATGGGAAATTCCAGTCTCTTCTGATCTCTCATTTCAATCTCTTGCTTTTATGAACACATCTCCTACTACTCATTCTGATCTCCTGTCCCCCTCTTCTAAGAATCTTTGTGTTACATCAGACCCATCTGGATAATCCAGGATAAGATCCTTAAGATCTCAAGATCATTAATTTAATCATATCTGCAAAGTCCCCTTTGTCTATAAGGTAACATTCACCAGTTCCAGGAACTAGAACATGGACATGATTGGGGGACAATTATTTCAGTTTACTACACTGGCTCTCACATGCCACAAACTTCATTTGAAAAAATCAGTACAATTTCATGCAACAAAATTGCAATGTGAAATTGCCAAACTTGCAAAAGATGAATGAATTCATAAAGTTGACCAAAGTTATGGTTGAGAGCTGCTGGAATTATGAGCAAAGCCATTGACAAATGAGGCTCCTGCAGAGACAGAACTCTTCAATCCAGCAAAGCAAGTGTTACTGAAATTCCTCCAGATGAAGAGAGACCCTTAGGAAAACTAATGAAGTGCTCAACTTTTTCCTTATGATGCAAAAATGTGAAATAAATAATCATACAATTATCTTTGAAACATTTTTTACCAAAAATGAATCAATCATGATTCATTCTCTGTTCACTCTAAACTTATAATTATTGTGTTAATTTTATCCCCAAAACAGAACTTATTTTTATAAATTTTAGTTTTATTTTCCAAGATAACCAATAACCAATTAAGACATTTTTCACTATTTACTATAAAGTTTTAGTCCCTATTCTAAGTGGATTCATTTTAAATGGCTGTTTTCTAATAAAAATTAGCCCTAGAGAAAGGGTGGGGGAGCAGGGGAAAGCCTCCAATGAAGACCCCCAAAAAGCATCCTAAAGGGGCAGACAGGATGCCTTAGCACAGCTGAGTGGGGAAGCTGTGGAGAGCAAGGCCACGTGCTACCTTAAGCATAGCTTAGGTGGCCTAAAGATTATTTCCCTCTGTGGCCTAAAGATTATCCCCTTATTATGTAGCCTGAAACTTCATCTGTGAGGGAAAATCACCAGCATGGTAAGCTTAACATCACAAAGATATCACTAAGATCAGTGTCACATGGGAAAAGAATTTAACGCCTTTCTGAAGGGGTCTGGGGAACATACCATTGATTGAGTGCTTCCAAGTGCCAAGTATTAGGTAGGGCATAGTCTCTTAATCCTCTGTAAATTAAATACTGTCTAAGAAACAGTTTCTGGAAGGTCTCACAGATAGGAAATAGCAAAGTCATGAAGGAAACTGGGATCTTGCTAGGCACAAAGCCCACGCTATTTTGCCACCCCATGCTGGTTTGCCTGACTGCATGCCACAACAGATGTGTCACTGGTTTCCAGGAGCTGCCTCTCCCTGTCATAAGGGCATAGATGAGACTGAGTAGATGGAAGATCAAGTATATAAGGGAGACCATCTGGGCCTAGGCCCTCTCCAAGGCTTGTCAGTTTTGTGAACTTGAGGAATAAGAAATGTTTTGAACCTCTCAGAAGATTTCTGCTGCCTCTGTAAAATGAGAATATTATTAATGCTTGTCCTCATATAGTTGTTGACTTCAAGAAAACTCATCTTAAAATTCAGAGGAATAACTAGTAAGACTCAATATTAAATTAAACATGTCCATTCAAAGCTATCTCAATAAAGGCACCAACAGGAATATTTAGAATGAAACCAGCTGATTCTAAGATTAATATGGAAAAATGAACTCTAAGGTTAATATGGAAAAATGAACAGTCAAGAATATTCTGAGAAAAGTGAGTAATGAAGAGGTAAGTCCAAGTAGAGAGCAAAAGATATTATAAAGCTATGCTAATTAAAACAATATGGTATTATGCCTGGAAGAACAGAACAATAGAGCACAACAGGGAGTCCTGGAATGGACTCAAATACATGCAGGAATTTAAGATATGATCAAAGTGTCATTTCAAATCAGTAGGTAAAAGATGGATTGTCCAATAACTGTCAGAACAACTGAACAGCCATCTGAGGGAAATATATTTTGACTTTTGGCCTTTCACAAAAAATAAATTATTGATGGATAGATTTCAACATACAAAATGAAGCCATTAAAATTGCTAAAAGGAAATATGGGATAAATTTTTACAACTTCAGAATCAGTTGGTCTTGAAACTATGTAGAATCTGCTGTAATATTAAAAAAATGAATTTGACTATACAATATTTTTAATTTCTACATGTAAAGAAACCACAACATGGAGAAAAATCGCCCCACGGTTCTTTCTTTTCTTCTTGTATGCCTCAAGATATTTTCATTTGCTATTCCTTCTGCCTGAAAATGCTCTTTCTCCAGCTTACATATAACAAAAAGAAAAAATTATTTGCAATATATAAAATATTCCAACAAATCATTAAGAAAATATCAACAATACAAAAGAAAAAAATGGGTAAAAATAGTAACTCACAAAAATGAAATACAAATGGCTTTCCAGCATATTAGAAAGTAGTCAATCTTACTCAAAATAAGTGAAATTCAAATAACACTATAAGATCCCATTTTTAACTATCACACTGGTGAAAAACAAAAATGTGATGACACATTAGAAAAGTGAAACAAGGGCTCTTATACAGTGTTGTTGGGAAGGTGATTAGAACAATCTTTATACAAGGAAATTTGGGAATATCTGTCAAAAATATAAATGTACATATTTTTGACCCACAAATTCTACTTACATCAAAATTAAATATCTGTGAAACCTTTACATATACATATTCTGATCCTAGTATATCTAATAAAAATATTTTCCTAGTATACAAAAAAGGGAAATTAATGCAATATTTTTTGGTAATAGAAAATAATGCAAATCAAGTGTCTTTCAGTTGGAGACTGATTAAATAAGTGATAGCACTTACATGCAATGAAATATTCTTGGCCAGGCATGGTGGCCTGTAATCCCAGAACTTTGGGAGCTCAATGCGTAGTTCAAGACCAGCATGGGCAAAAAAATAAGACCCCATGTCTACAAAATATTTAAAGAGTTGCCAGGTGGGGTGGTGCATGCTTGTAGTCCCAGCACTTTAGGAGGCCAAGGCAGGAGGATCTCTTGAGCACAGGAGTTTGAGGGGGCAGTGAGCTATAATCACACCTAGCACTCCAACCTAGGTGACAGAACAAGACCCTGTCTTAGAGAAGAGAAGAGAAGAGAGGAAGGGAAAAAAGGGAAGGGAGGGAGGAAGGAAGGAAGGGAGGGAGGGAGGGAAGGAGGAAGAGCAGGAGTGGAAGGAAGGGAGGAAGGGAGGAAGGGGAAGGGAAGGGAAGGGGGGAAGGGGTAGAAGGAGGGTAAGGAAGGGAAGGAAAGAAAGGAGGAAGCTAGGAAGGGAGGGAGAAAAGGAAGGAAGGGGGGAGGGAGGAAAGGAGGGAGGAAGGAGGGAGGGAAGAAAGAAAGAAAAAGATTCTACAGTTGTTAATAGGAGTGAGATAGCTCTAGGTGCGCTGAATGAGCTCCAAGTTATACTGTTATGTGAAACAAATCAAGGTGTAGAACAGAACATACAGTATTCTACCATTTGTGTATGTATTAGATGTATATGTATACAGCTATATATGTACATTTTAGGATCAAGGATGGAGGAAAACTTGTATTTTTTTAAATTTTTTATCATGTTCACATATTATCTATCAAAAAATAAAGAAAGAAAAAATGTTAAGCAAGGCCTTGAAATATTCGGGCAGATTATCCATTGTCAGCACCACTGAGCCTTGTTGACACAAGTAATGAAGAATTTTGCGCTGAAATTCAGTAGGCACTAGCATGATACACTGCATATGCACAGCAGGTATTTGGAGTGAGAAGATGTGCTTTAGTTCCCAGTTTCATGTCTTAAAAGCTGTGTGATCTTGAAAAGGGCACTTACACTTTTGAACCTCGAGTTTCTCAACTATCAATAGGGACAAATAAGACAGGGGTTTCTTTTGAGGTTGCAACTGGGTAATATAGCTGAAAGTATTATATAAACTTAAAGTGACATAAACGTGCTAGTTAACATCTAATTAATTTCTAAGAATTTAATGCCATGTAAACTTAAAGTGACATAAACAAGCTAGTTCATATCTAATTAATTTTTAGGAAGTTAGAAACTCAGTGGCCTGGGTGGAAGAAAATAATCTGGAAAATCTTAGTGAAGGCCATATGACAATGAAGATTAAATAGACCCCTCAGCTGCAGCAGACAAAGATGCTCAATGTGTCCAAGTAGAGGGCACTGTTCACACATCTGTCCAAAGAGTGGTGTGTGTGTGTGTGTGTGTGTGTGTGTGTGTGTGCACGCGCGCGCGCGCTGGGGTGGGGGTAGAACGCATACATTTTTTCTTTTCAGTTTTAACCCCGATAAAGAAGTTATTCTTTCTCTTTGAGTAATTCAATGAATTCAACCCCTCCCTCTATACTGGCAGATGTTAAACACAAAGGGACACAGCCCAGAGGCAGCTGGCCATGGAGCAGAGAACTCAGTGAAAGGCAGAAAACTCTGACAAGCCTTTTCCAGGTAGGTGGGAAGCATTTTGTCAAGGAAATTAGAAAGTCATATTCCCATAAAGTTCTTAAAGGCTTGCTATTTAACGAATTTCATATGAAAACTAAAAAAAAATTCTGCAGATTAGTACTAAGGACCCTAATAAAGTCATCCCTCTGTCTTCTCGAGGGATTGGATCCAGGAACTGCCAAGGATATTGAAATCCACAGATGCTCAAATCCCTGGTATAAAATGGCATAGTGTTTGCATATAATCTATGCACATTCTCTAAATTAGGTATAATACCTGGAACAATGTAAAGGCCATGTAAATGGTTGTTATATTGTATTGTTTTTGATTTGTATTATTTTTATTGTTATATCAGTTTTTTTTTCTTTCCCAAATACTTTCCATCAGTAGTTGTTTGTATCAGAGGATGTGGAATCTGAGGATATAGAACCCGCAGATACAGAAGACGCTGGCTGTATGAGGAAATGATAAGCCACAGGCAGCAAGAATTAATGTAAAACAGAGAATGATCAGCAGAACACAGAAAAGTAAAAGAGAGGCGGCGTCACAGGAAACTGGATGTGAAGACTGTAATACATCTCTGCAAAATATTCAATACTCCTGTCTGCAAAAGGCAAGTTCTCTTCATACTCTGTTGGTGAGACTGTAAATTAGCACAAGGACTATAGAGAACAATTTGGAGGTTCCACAAACTAAAGATAGAGCTACCATCTAATCCAGCAATCCCACTGCTAGCTATATACCCCAAAGAAAGGAAATCAGTATATCGAAGAGATATCTGCATGCCCATGTTTGTAGCAGCTCTGTTTACAATAGCCAAGATTTGGAAGCAACCTAAGTGTCCATCAACAAATGAATGGATGGAGAGAATGTGGTACATATACACAATGGAGTACTATTCAGCCACACACAAAAAAAAAGATTCTGTCATTTGCAACAACATGAATGGAACTGGAGGTCATTATGTTGAGTGGAGTAAGACAGACACAGAGAGATGAACTTCACATTTTCTCATTTATTTGTGGGAGCTAGAAAGTAAAATAATTCAATGCATGGAGATAGGGAGTAGAATGATGGTTACCAGAGGCTGGGAAGGGTAATAGGGTAGTGGGAAGTGGGGATGGTTAACAGATTCAAAAAAATAGAAAGAATAAAAAAGATCTAGTATTTGATAGCACAACAGGGTGACAATAGTCAATAATAACTTAATTTCACACTTTAAATAACTAAACAATTGAATTGTTTGTAATACAAAGGATAAATGCTTGAGGTGATGGATGCCCCATTTACCCTGAGGTGATTATTACACATTGTATACCTGTCTCAAAATATCTCATGTACCCTATAAATGTATATACCTACTATGTATCCACAAAAATTAAATTTTTTTAAATGTAGGTTCTACATCCCTTCCCCCTTGAATCTGACTTAACTTTAGTGACCAATAAAGTATGGTTAGAGTGACACCATATGACTTTCATAGGCATCAGACCTATGAAATCATAGAGGGCCGCATGCTCAAAGAGCCCTGCACTTGGTATAATGCTCTGCTGTTGCAGTCTTGAGCTTCTTGATAATTTGTGAACAAGGGGCCCACATTTTCACCTTGCCTTGGGCCCACGAAGTATAGAATCAGTTCTGCTTCTGAGGCTAGGTCATAAACGGTGATGCAGCTTCCTCCTTGTTCTCTGGAACACTCATGTCGGAGAGTTAAAGCCACCCTAGGAGCACTGGCATTCCAAGAGCCCAGATGGAGAAGTGCTGAGACTCCAGCCATAGTTTGACTGCAAGCACCTGAGAAACCCAGAGCCAGACCTACCCACCTGAACCCTTCCCAAGTCCTGATCAGCAGGATAATAAAACGGTTGCCATGTTCTAAGCCTTAAAGTTTTAGGCTGATTTTTTACAAAACAATAGTGATTTGGAACATGGGATTATGTCAGACCAGATTTGATTTTTTAAACCATGAGTTCTTAATCTTTTGCGTGCAATAAACAAGAGAGGCGCAAGTAAGGACAGGTGGAAACACTTCTTTAGTCCATTTTCTCCAGCTATTAGCTGTTAAGCAAGAAAGGGAGATAGTTTAGGAGAGCACATAGCCCTGGGACCCAGGAAAGGAGCACATCTTGACAAGTCACTTCCTAGGGTGGAGCCTGAACCTGAAGCCAGATGAACCAATGGTGCATCAATGTGAAGAGCCTAATTGAATGAGGCACAGAGTGTGAAGAGAAACAGAAACTTATTCACCTAATTCATCTTCATTCGGTTTGTATGTGTCCTGGGATCAACCTTCAGACTGCTGAATCCTTTTGCATTTCTTTTTTTGAGATGGAGTCTCGCTCTGTTGCTCAGGCTGGAGTGCAGTGGTGCAATCTTGGCTCACTGCAACCTCTGCCTCTCAAGTAGCTGGGATTACAGGTGCCCACCACCATGCCTGGCTAATTTTTGTATTTTTAGTAGAGATGGTGTTTCACCATCTCTAACATGGTCTCTAAATACTGACTTCAAGTGATCCACCCACCTTGGCCTCCCAAAGTGCTGGGATTACAGGCATGCCATTCTCCTGCCTCAGCCTCCCGAGTAGCTGGGACTACAGGCGCCCGCCACCACACCCGGGTAATTTTTTTGTATTTTTAGTAGAGACGGGGTTCCACCATGTTAGCAAGGATGGTCTCGATCTCCTGACCTCGTGATCCGACCACCTCAGCCTCCCAAAGCACCGGGATTACAGGCGTGAGCCACCGTGCCTGGCCCTCCTTTTGCATTTCTAACCTCTGATAGAGTTTGCAGGGCTAAGGAATAATGGCCACCATTCATCAAGGGCTCATCGTGAGCCAGACTCCTCACCTACACTAGCTTGAATCTCACATACAGCCCCATGGTGGGGGCGGGGGGGGGGGTTGTATTATGCCCAGTTTAAAAGTTAGGAAGGGAAGCTTAGAATAATGAAGTAGCTTTATAAAGGTAACATCTATTGAGTGCTGACTGTGTGCAAGCTCTGCTGCGTGTTCCATATGCATTACCCCACTGAATGCTCACAGTCATGCTCTGAAGGAGGGGATCACACCATCCCCATTGACAACAGATTATACTCTCCTTCAGAGAGGTTAGGTAATTTGCCCAAGGTCACAGAATAGCAGAGCAGGGATGCTGATCCAAAACTATACACAGAGTCTGTCTCCTAGGGCAACTCCAAAGCCCAGGCTCAGCCCAAGGGATACTCTATTGCCTCCTTGAAAAGCTCCTTCTGCAGAAGAGGAAAGGGGAAGGATTTACCCCAATGTCAGGAGTTTGGTCTTTGGAGGGCATAGGGGGACATCTCCCTCAACTCCCATCACTGTTATTAGATTATTGAAATACATGGACTTTACAGTTTGGGGGATACATGAGGCCTATTTTATAAGAGATGTCATTAAAAAAAAACTTCAGTGAGTTTATTTTGTGCCCCATAAGGCCTCCCATCAGAGGACTGTGCCATTCTGATTAGCTACTAGCCTAAGATTTGGCAGTGACATGGCAAAAGCTCTCTGGAAACATATAGGGTCCGCTTGCCCCTACTTGCACAAAATGTCTTTATTTGTCTCTAGACCTGGCTGTCATTTGGTTCCACTTCTATCAGGCAAGAAAGGTAGACTCACTTAAAACAAATGCAGTCAACTGCACGTTCCAGGCTGGGCCATATCTTTTATGAGGGTGATGTGGATCAACACACAATCTGAACTTTTCTGTTTCTCTGGCTTATATTCACAGGGTTTTGTGTGTGTTTGTCTTTTTGATAACTTTCAAAGCTGATTTTGCCGGCGATTTCTAAGGTTAGCAACATCACCCCATCAGACACTTCTTTTCCTTCTCCTAGATGAGATCTTACACCATCTATTCCCAATCATGTTTTCTTGCTTATTGCGTAAATTGCATTCATCACTCTAAAAGGACTTGAAACACCTTGACTGCTTTCTCTTATGTGGAACTTGAAATGCATCGATTTCCGTTGCTACAGCCCTAGCTATATATTTATTATCTGTCAGTTCTAGTTTACTTAGAAGTTGCCTGTACAGAACCCAGCAGTCTGAAACTAGCTCACCAAAAAAGGGAATCAAAAGCCATAGTTCATCCACATGTTGACACTTGCCATCCACCCTTGCAGTTCAACTCAGTATCTTTCTCTACTGGGAAGGCCCCTGACATCTGAGGGCTCTCTCTCCTTCAGTGGCCATCAGAAAAGCCCTCTAAATGCCTCCAGCTGCTAGAAGAGAACAAAGTTGTCACTTCTAGTGATCAAATTCAGAACATCCTGTTATTGCTGCCACCATCATGAATGTATGTCACACAGCAAAGTTATGTGAGCCTCAGTTCCCAGGAATACCATAAAAGGAATATTCCTAAGTTAGGTCCTAGGGAACTACCTCAGAGGAATGACTGGTCTAGAGGACAGAGAGTGAGCTTTATTTATTTATTTTATTTTTTATGTTTATTTTTTCTTTGAGGCGGAGTTTCACTCTTGTCGTCCAGGCTGGAGCACAACGGCATGATCTCGGCTCAGTGCAACCTCCATCTCCCGAGTTAAAGCGATTCTCCTGCCTCAGCCTCCAGAGTGGCTGGGATTACAAGCACCTGCCACCACCCCCTAGTAGAGACAGGGTTCCACCATGTTGACCAGGCTGGTCTTGAACTCCTGACCTCAGGTGATCCCTCCCAAAGTGCTGAGATTACAGGCGTGATCCACCACACCTGGCCAGAGAGTGAGCTTTACAGCAAGATAGATGTAGTATTAGAAAAGTAATTTAACTTCTCTTAGGGGTAGTTTTTGTCTCTGTAAATGTTGATGATAATAATTCACTTCCAGGGTCATATAAAACTTACAAATAATGTCTGAAAAAAGTTTGTCTCCATGCCTGACAGAATGTCTTCAGTAAAGAGTAATTATTATTATGAAAAGCAAGAAACTATTAATAGCATTCTTGAAAATAATCTATTGTTAATGAAGTTATACATGCATATAGTTTAAATGGTCAAATTAGGCTGTCGGTCTTGTTATGATAGCACCATTCCTTATGTTATGCCTACTTTCCACTCCACAGGCAATGAAAAACTGTTTTCCAAATTAGTTGGAGTCCCTTAACACTCCCATGGGTCCGTGAGCTCTTGGATTCTGGAAATGCATAACCTTAAATTTAGGGTATTTTAAATTATATTTAAATTATTTTTGGTTGACATTCTGGCTGATTTCTTTAATTTTATCCTCCTTTCTTTGTTGAAACTAAACCTGGATCTTAATCATGTTATAAGCTAACAATAAACTTGGATTCTCCCCCAAGCTGGCAAAAGACTCATGAATTTGTATTGTATTTGGAGAAAATAATAAAAGGAAAAAATATATGTGAATGTCACAAACAAGTTTCCTAAGTAATGAAATCAGAATGACTGGATCAGATCAAGGGCTTCCCCAGCTTAGAACTGCATCTGATGATGACATCAAGAACCGTGTTGAAGAAGGGAGCAGTTACGTCCTTGACATCCGTTTCAAAGTTAGAAATTTAACATGCCTCAGCACTACTCTCCCATAGCCTATTACAGAAAAACAATTAATGGACTTACCTAAAGTGTTTTTATATGTTTGTTTTTGTAGAGATGGAGTCTTGCTATTTTGTCCAGGCTGGTCTCGAACTCCTGGCCTCAAGCAATTCTCCCACCTCGGCCTCCCAAAGTACTAGGATTACAGGTGTGAGCCACTGCCCCTAGCCTTAACATGTTTTTTTTAATATTGTTATCTTTTTTCAGTAGATATGAACTCTTGGAAGATATAACCTCCAAAAGTTTGAATTTGAAGCATATCTTATTTATTTGTCCATAACTACATGTCTTGAATATCAGGAAATGCCCCTAGTGGTATTATTTAGACTTAGTTCAACAAACCCTTATCATTCATTTCCTAGACACATAATACTATGTTAATGTTCTTGGGGGGAATACAAAATTTATTTTAATATTTATGGTCTAGAATATAATAAAATACAGATAACTCTAAAGTCTTTTTTCAGTGATTCGGAGGGCACCTTAGGATTTTGCAATATCCCAGAGTTACCATTGTGGAGATCAGTTACTATTCTATATGGACATGTTTGTTACAGAAATGCTGAATGAAGTCTATAAGATACAAAATGTTGGCCAAATAGTGAGTTGCTGTCTTCTCTGTGCTCTTACAGCACTCTGTTTTGTATGGAACTTGGAGATTGGCAGTACAGTAATCCACATGCGGAGAGGTTGCCCTGCTGATTCTGAAGCATTCAGTGGTCAGGTCTGCATTCTGTCCATTTTTTCATCCTCAGTCCCTACACTCAGGTGAGGCACGCAATGTACCCTCAGTAACGGGAGAGTTGAATGGTTGGATGAAGGGATAGATGGCTAGATCTCTATCTCAGCCTTTTCCTTTCTATTTATTGCCCTAGAAAATAGACAGTGGTAAAGTTGATATTAAAGACATTCTACTAGCACATGGAAGCTGAGCATTAGCATTGTACATAGTGATGCTACCATTTCTACAGCAGTAGGCGTGAGTATGAATAAAGGGTTAACATCAGGCCTCCCTCGGCTGAGGCAGGCCTGCTTGAGAATGACCTCAGCTTGCATGGCCCTGTTTCCTTGGAAACAGTAGAGCTGAGATAAATGAGGGTCTCTCCCTCCTTATTGTGTGGAAAAAAAAAACAACAAAAAAAACCCAGGTCGAGGGATCTGCGAGCTGGCATGCAGACCTCGGTCTTGATGAAAACCATACACAACACTGGTGAGGCAAAGGGACTGGCCTCTCTGTGACAAGGTTACCCCACACACCTTGGCTGTCACACCTTGGCCATGTGTGGGAGAAAAGACAGAAAAAAAAAAAGAAAGCTGTCACTGGTGTAGCTGGTGGGCCTCCCCATGATGACGATCCTGAATCTTTTTGCTGTGTCTCCTGCCTTGTTTCCTTCCAGAAAGCTGAATAAAAATGGTGTTAGATTAAAGCCTATTGTGTCTCCTGGGCCTGATTTGCCAACTCAAACTCATAACCACTACTGAACTGTCGCAGTTGGTAATCTTCATACCTGTTTCTCGTGTTCCCAAATGTCACTCAGCACAGAGAAGAGGGAGTTAAAAAAGAAAAAAAAAAAAAAAAGAGAGAAACTAAAATCTTCCATACTGCATTCCCAAGGATGGAAAACGAAATGTTTGTAAATATTTTGGGTTGCTGTGAACCTCAGGCAAAACCCAGACTGGCTCCCAAGAGGGCAGTGCCCTTGATGGTCAGGTCCCAGCCAAGTCAGAGTGGAGGATTAAAGTTAATCCAGGTGGCCATATCTGAAGTAGGCGCTGCACAATTTAAACCACACCACCAAAGAAAGGCTATTTGGGAAAGGAAGTGCAAAAGAGAAAAAGCAGGATGAGGGTAATTGCATGACTAGGAAAAGGTCAAAGGGGCATATTCGCTGAGGGTCCCTCTGGATCAGTGAAACAAGAGGAAAGAAAAGCATATGCATGTTCATTGAAATTAAAAACATTTTTAGGTCGTCCTCTGCTGAATTCTAAGACTTAGAAATGATTTTAAATTCCTGAAAGCAACTCCTTCCCCTCTGAGTGAATGTTTAGCCACTTTAATGTGCTTTACCTGGGAGTTTGGTATGTGCCTGCAAGCCAGGAAAATAGTTTTAACAGGGCCTAATGTTCCCTGCAGGCTTATGTGTTTTCTCAAGCACCAAACGAAGTGGACAAGCTAATGAAGCCTAAAAAGGTCACACAGCTGACATCAGACAGGGCAGCACCCAAAGAATCTGGCCTGGAGTCCTTAGAACTCATGTCCACCAGGCTGTTCATTTTCACTATTATTCAGTCATACCATTCCTGCTTTCCATGTATTGAGAGCTCACAGTGAGCAAATGAAATGAACCCCACATTTCTCTTATTTCAATTATTCCACATGTTTGGTTCCAAGAACAAATGCACTACAGGTTAGTTATTCTCCAGATATTTTTTAAAAAGTAAACAACCTTCAGTGGATCAATTCCAATAACTACTAATGGTTTCAGTCACATCATCATAAAATTAAGGTAGATGTCTGTGAAATTACGCATCTTCCCCTAAGAAAATCCTAAATGCAATATATTTAAAGTAGTTTATACATACTAATAATATTTTAAGTAACACTGTTTATATTCCTATAGCCCTTTCTGTGTCTAAATATTTTGCAGAAATCATTTCATTTGATATTCTCAGTAACTGTGTGATGTGGTAAGATAGGTATTATTATTACCCTTCAGTTCTCTTGGAAATAGAAAGTGGTTTAAAAATTACCATAAGAACCCAGAAAGTTGTTAACTGACCTAGTACTACAATCTAGATATTCTGACTTCCGGCAAAATACTCTATTACAGAACTTAAATTAATGAAAAACATTTTCAGTTCATTTCTACAAAATTTCAAAGTCAGTAAAAACAAACAGAAGTTGTTAAACATTTCTCTTTCCCTCAGTAATAAGGTAACTAAGCTATTAACTTAAAATTTCTAGCTTTTGAAAAACATATGGCCGTTATTCTGAAGCCACTGGGTGAGGAACTCATTCGATTTCTTTTTTATTTTCCAGACAAATATCAAGTTAAAAAATTCACATAGCTCAAGAGCAAGTTTAAAAATTTAATTCCAGCAATATAAATGCGTTCATTTCCTGGGAATCAAACTCAAAATTTGGACCCACTTCCTTTAGCACTTATTTCTAACAGTTCACTAAGCTCCAAATTTTGTTTCAGAACATATACAGTGAGCGTTTCAATCTATTAAGGTAATCTTCAGATTTACTTGAGGTTGTTCTGGAAGATTCGTACTTTTCTAGTTGGAAAAGGAAATTAATGACTTCTGTCAAGGATAGAAAAAAAATATTTATAATGGGACTTAGGGGCAGGAGCTTTGCAATTAAAAATACCATTTAAACATTTTACTTAAATCCAACCAAACTGAAGTGTCAGCACAATTCTATTCGTTAATTTTGACATTATTTACTGAATATAATCCCCTTAAGTCAGAGGCTGACCTCCACAGCATCCAAGCTTCCTGTGGGATCAAAAGGAATAATAAGAAACATGTTACTACTGTAAAATAAGCAAGACTGGTGTTGTGAGCAGGTTTGTTCCTATGTTGTCAAATAGACAAGCTTGCAGCAAATACTCAGCAATAACAAAATAGATGTCCAGGGACCTTTTTCCAACCGACAAGCAGACAACTCAGCAACTTCAAACAGATTTTTTTTCTTTAGGAGCCAATTCACTTGCAGTGTAGGCTGATAAAGCAGTATTAATCTCCTGCCTTAAATCAAGTTTCTGTCACTGGGCTCCATTAATCTCCCCCCTGTTATCAAGTGTCTCCATGGCAGGAAATTATATTTCTAAATTGAATTTTGTTCTGTTTCGATGTAGTAAGAAATATTTTCCAGACTACTAATAGGACGCATAAAGACTGTGACTCTGACAATACCGTTAGATAAATAAAAGCTATAAGTGAAAACCACCTTCATTCACTAGCTAGCATAATAGCAAAATAGAAAGCATTGATTACCTGGAAAGAGTAATCAAATAAAAGATTTTAAATGAAAAGTGAGGTAGCAGATGGTTAACTTTTTAATTTACCTTTTTATAGCAATTGCCCATAAAGGTAAAAAGAAAAAAAAGCAATCCAATGAGTCTCTTGGTGCTAATAAAACACATATTGATTCTTAGTGCATATGCTTACTCTACAAAATGGTCAAACTTGGGTCTACCACAGGTAATGGAGGCAGATACTGTTTATGAGCACTTCTGTGGAGGCAAATTTACAGTAAAGAAATGTCTTTGGGCTAGATTTATTATGAAAGAATGAAAACTTATAACCACACTAAGGAAGAGATTTCATTTTAGGGGCAGAGATTCACTCACAGTAAAGCCACGGCAATTCAGCCAAGTGGCAGCGCAGTCTCTAGTAGAAGCCTTCAAAATACAGTCTACCTTTTTGTTGGTGAACAATACAGTGATTGCAATAAAGTTTAGAAATTTTTTTCATTGATATAAATTGCTCTGTCCCCTCTTTTTTAACATAGGGTTCTCTTTGACAGTAGCAATTTGGGGAAAGTCTCTTCAAAGTGTAATTGAAAGCATGGCCCCAAATGTCCATTAAAACTTCCTATATTTAAAGAAACATTGCATGAAAGAAGCTTTTCATAGTGCATCAGTGTAAGGAGTTGTATAATACATGATTAATGCTACCAGTGTATCAAGATGCTTGAAGGACAAGTAGGATTTGACAAATGTACAACAGGATAGGGTTAGTTTTCCAGACAGAAGAGAGACGAAAAAACACCTCTACTCCTTTCCCATTCTAACTTCTAACCTACAGCCCTTGGACTGAAGAGGTGAGATATATGGATCAAATCATTACATTCTACTTAACTTCACTTTCAGAACATCTCAAAGTTAGAATTCATGGTAAACAAGCCATACTAGCTTCATCAATTTAAGTATTTTGATACTCCAGTAAATTAAACACTTAAAAGATATTTATAATGGGCTGGGCGCGGTGGCTCATGCTTGTAGTCCCAGCACTTTGGGAGGTCCAGGTGGGCAGATCACTCATGGCCAGGAGTTCGAGACCAACATGGCAAAGCCCTGTCTCTACGAAAAATACAAAAATTACCCAGGCATGGTGGTGCACACCTGTAATCCCAGCTACTCGGGAGTCTGAGGCACAAGAATCACTTGAACCTGGGAGGCAGAGGTTGCAGTGAGCCAAGGTTGCACCACTATCTTCCAGCCTGGGTGACAGAGCAAGACTGTCTCAAAAAAAAAAAAAAAGATATTTATAATGGGTAAATGAATAATAATTTGAAGTCACAGATCTCAACGTTTACGAAAATAAAACTAAGACTTCAAAATAATAAATATTAACCAGAACTGGAAAGCAAAATGAAGTGGAGTAAGTGACTTTCAGAAAAGGAGGAAATACAACATGTTCTTTGATATAAATACAAGCAGGTAATAAAAGAAAGTCGGCATTGGAAAAACATACATCCTCCTCCTTTACCCTGTGAGCAGACCTTACTTATATGCGTGAGAAAGAAAGAAACTGCAGCATCCAAAAGTAGAGGTCATAAGTCACATTCCTTAAGAGCAACCAACTGAGAAAGATAAGTTTGGAAAACTATGAAGCATATTTTTTATTTTTACTGTTTAACATAATTTTGACAGGAGAGCAGACAAAAACACACTCCTGGGAGGAATGGCGGCAAAAGAGAATGACAATTATTATTTTTCTATATGCTGCAATGTGACAATGTATTTTGCAAAAACAACCACACCAGATGTCTAGCCTCTGGACTCACTTTTTACTAGGATGGCCAGCCATCTCATCAAGTGCAATGTACACATCGAGGATTTACACCATGCTCCGTTTAATGCCTAAAGGTTTGGTGGGGTTCCACATGGAATTAACTTGATTCTGAAATTGGGACTATTCACGGCAGTCCCAATTTTAAGCTGAGTCCATCTGCCAAAATGTTGCTTCAGATGTGAAATGTACTTGCTGGTGGCTAATTTTCAAAAGCATCTCGTAGTCACTTACTGGTATGTAAAATGTACAGCTCAATTGCTATTCATTAAGAGAGAAAAAATCAACATTGCCTAAATGGATTAAAAACAGAAGTCACAGACAAGGATGTAAAAGCACTTTGATTTTTCAATAGAGAGATTTTTATACATTTATTGGCATTCTCCAGCATCAGTCATCTCCCAGGCTGAATGCTCAAGATTTTCATTTTCACCATTAAATGGTCCCTGTTTAAATGGATCTCCTTACTTGGCAAAACATATTTACACATCCAGTTGTGCCAGCTCTAAGGCTTCTAGTTCTAAACGTCTATAGGGAAAAAAGAGAAGTGTTAGGAGGTGACTTCACCTTGCCTTTCCCTGAGATCTGATAAAAACTGCTCAACCACACACAAGAACAGCAGGATGTGGTCAGAGGCGTCGTTCCTCCTCTGTGAGACACAGTTTCCTCAGGAAGGAAATCTTAAGAAAGGTATCAGGAAACTATGGACTATGCCAGTCAGCTGTTAAGGGCTCAGAAACTCTTAAGGGAGCAAAATGTTCAACCACGCTCTTTTTCTGAATAGAGAAATCAAATCCCGAGATCAGCCAGGGAGAAAAAGAAAAAGATCAAAAGGGGTATTCTATCTCTAGCTCCAAAACAAATAGCACTCGTTTTCAGTTTTTAAAATGTGCGTGTCTTTAGTCATTTCCCAGGATGGCTTTAAACATGTTGACAGTTTTGCCTCGAACAATGGTGCTGGACTCACCATGGGCATGTTTTCCAAGCCATTTTCTATGAATGTCAAATTGCCCAGGATGCTTCTTTATGGACACCTCACTTCCAGAAGACACCAATCCTTAAAGCTTGAGCTGAATAGGAGAACAGATGCTTAATTTTAAAGTATCACTTCAATTTCTAGCTGAGTAGAAGGGACAACTCCCAGGGCTAATATAAAGTGTCTTTGAAGATCCAACTTCATAAATGACTAGTTAATCAAGTGTAAAAGTTTAAGGAGGGAAGAAAGTTCACTCACATAGCTTCTTAATACCCATCTGGTTCCAAATAGCCTATATTTATATTAAAGGGCGGAAGATAATAACTTTTTTTTGTTTATGTCATTCTTAAGATACAGCAAGACCTATAATCTCCTAGAATTCCTTAAACTAAACTCTTCAAGAACATTACCAATCCATTGCGTGCTGAGGACAAAACAGGATACAAATAAACTAAAAGAACAGGGTCCTTGACGTTAGCACAGTTTTAAGAGTTTTTAATTCATTGCTTTCATTTAAAAATTTGGAGGTTTCCCACGAATATCCAGATTTATGTTTGTTTGTTTGTTTTAATGAGAAGATCCAGCCACAGTAGGTTCTCATTCCCATCTGGCAACAACTGACTGGTACTGAGTGGCTGCTGCTTAATCCTGGATAATCTCTAAAATCCTTCCAGAAACAAAATCCTGGGTGTCTAAATATGATGCAGCAAGTTTGTTGTTAAACTTTGAATTCAAATGGCATGAACAAAATAGACTTCCCAAGCATGAAACTTAGAATACGTCTATGAAGTAAAGTGAATTTCTGAATTGTGATAATTTAAAATAAAAAGGCTGGAGTCAGTAGTGCTACACGAGATTGGGCAAAGACACCAAAGAAACACACACAGACATTGAAATGTACTTCACTGGACCCCTTGATTTGATTAGATGTTGGAATATGAGATCAAAATTGTGTCCTGAAGGACAAAGAAGAGGATGGCATAACTGGGGGATAAAAGGAAGGAGTAAGCAATCCTTATGAGCATGGTAGAGAGAAAACGGGGAGGTTACATCCTGGGAAGACCAAGAAATGAGAAGAAATGCCTTCAGGAATTTTTGTTTAATTCCTGTATTAAAGCAAACTCTACACATAAAAGTCCTATAGATAAATTACTACTGTAATTTTGTGTAGACTGACAAAGAAAAAGACTCAAATTACCAAAATCAGGAAAAAAAGAAAGATCACTATCAATCTTACAGAAATAAAAAGCATTACAAAGGAATACTATGAAAAACCATATACCAATAAATTAGATAACTTAGATGAAATGGAAAAACTCCTAGAAAATGCAAACACAAAACAAGACTCAAGAAGAAATAGAAAATCTCAGTAAATCTGTAACAGATAAAAAGCGTAAGTTACTAATTTTAAATTTACCATGAAGAAAATCTCAGGACCAGACAGCTTCTCTGAGTGAATTCTACCACTCATTGAAACAATACCAATTCTTTGCAGTTTTCTAAAAAAAAAAATAGAACAAGAGGGAACACTTCCCAACTCATTCTATGAGGCCAGTATTATTGTGATACCAGAACCAGGCAAAAGCATCACAAAAAAGAAAACTATAAGCCAAGGTTCCTTGTAAATATAAGTTAGAAAATCTTCTATAAAATACTAGCAAACTTACCCAGCAACATATAAAAAGGATTATACACCATGACCAAGTGGGATTTATCCAAGTAATGCAAGTTAACAAAGTTTGTTTACAAACAAAAATCAGTGTAATAAACCATATAAACAGAATAAATGACAAAGACCTCGTGATCATTTCAATAGACACAGTAAAAGTATTGTATCTAACAAAGTCCAACAACCCTTCTGGATAAAACCACTTACCAAACTGGGAATGGAATAGAAGATGCCTTAGTCTATTTGTGCTGCTATAATAAAATACCATAGACTGGGTAATTTATAAACAATAAAAATTTATTTCTCACAGGTCTGGAGGCTGGGAAGGCCTCATTCTGTGTCTGTGAAGCCCTCCTTGCTGCATCCTGACATGGCAGAAGAGGTGAACGCTGTATCCTCAAATGGTAGAAGGTAGAAGGGCAAAAAGGTCTGCTGAGCTAGATCCCCCCAATCCTTCTATAAGGCACTAATCCACTGATGAGGGCAAGGCCCTCATGACCTAACCACTTTCCAAAAGGCTTCATCTCTTAATACCATTACAATGGAAATTAAGTTTCAACATGAATTTGGGAGGGGACGCATTCAACCCATGGCAGAAGGTATCTCCCTCCACTTGAAAAACAGCATTTATGAAAACCTACAGTTAATATTACACTTAATGATGAAAGACTGAATGCTTTCCCCATAAGAGCAAGAACGGATGAGGATGTCCATCCAAGAATAGGATGTCCACTCTCACCACTTCTATTCAACATCATAATGGAGGTTCTAGCCAGGGCAATTAGGCAAGAAAAATAAATAAGACATTCATATTGGAAAAGAAGAAGTAAACTATCTCTCTTCACAGATAATACGAACTTGTGCATATAAAATCCTAAGGAATTCACAAAAAGCTATTGGAAATAACAAATGAGTTCAACAAGTTTGCAAGACTTGAGATGAATATACAAAAATTGGTTGTATTTATTTCTATGTACTAGCAGTAAGCATTCTGAAAGTAAAATTAAGGAAAAATTCCATTTAAAATAGAACCAAAAAGAATAAAGTACTTAAGAATAAACTTAACAAAAGAAATGCAACACTTGTACACTGAAAACTACAAAACATTGTTAAAATAAAGAAGACCTAAATAAATGGAAAGACATCCTGTATTTGTGGGTCTCTAGAAGATTTGTTATTGTTAAGATGGCAAAAGTCCTCAAATTTATCTACAAATTCAATGCAATCCGTGTCAAATCTCAACTATATTTTTGACAAAAATTGACAAGATAATACTAAAATTCATATAAAAATGCAAGGGACCTAGAATAGCCAAAACAAACTTCACAAAGAAAAGCAATTTTGATGAACTCACACTTCCTGATTTCAAAATTTTCCACAAGGCTACAGTAATCAAGACAATACAAGACTGGAATAGGATAAGAATATAGATCAATGGAATAGAATTGAGAGTCCAGAAATAAACTCATACATCTATGGCCAATTGATTTTTCAACAAAGGTGTCAAGATGATTCTATGGGGAAAGAATAGTCTGTTCAACAAATGGTCCTGGGACAAGTGGATATCCACATGAAAAGCAAAAGAAGTTGTACTCCTTCCTTAAACCACACACAAAAATTAACTCAAAGTGAATTATAGGCCTAGATGTAAGAGCTAAAACTATAAAATTCAGAAGAATACTTAGATATAAATCTCTGTCCTTGGTTGACTATGTTTTCTTAGATACAATGCCAAAAGCATAAGTAACAGAAAAAGATATAGATAAATTGGACTACACCAAATTTTAAAATTTTTATGCTGAAACCAATATCTTCAAGATAGTGAAAAGACAACCACAGAATGATAGAAAATACTTGCAAATCATGTATCTGATAAAAGGACTGGTATTGAAGATATATAAAGAGCTCTTTCAACTCAATAATAAAAACGACTCAGCTTTAAAATGGGTAAAGGATTTGAATAGAAATTTCTCCAAAAGAAGAGATATAAAATGGCCACTAAGTACATGAAAAGATGTTCATCCAATGATATAGTTTGAATGTTTGTCCCCTCCAAATCTCGTGTTGAAATGTGATCCCCAGTGTTGAAGGTGGGGCCTGATGTGTGGTATTGGGTCATGAGGGTGGATTTGTCATGAATGGCTTGGTACCCTCCCTGCAGTAATGAGTGGTGATGAGTTCATATGAGATCTTGTTGCTTAAAAGAGCATGGCACCTTCCCACCCCAACTCCAACCCCCTGCTTGCTCTGTCTCTTGCCACGTGACATGCTGGCTCTCCTTTGCTTTCTGCCATGATTGTTAAGCTTCATGAGGCCCTCACCAGAAGTAGATGCCAGCACTATGCTTCAGGTACAGCCTGCAGAACCTTGAGCCAAATAAACCTCTTTTCTTTGTAAATTATCCAGTCTCAGTTATTCCTTTATAGCGATGCAAATGGACTAACACAACCAACCTCATCGGCCACGAGAGAAATGCAAATCAAAACCACTGTGAGATAACATTTCATGCCCACTAGGATGGCTATAATCAAAAAGACAGATAATAATAAGTTAGCAAAAAATGTGAAGAAATTGGAACTCTCATACATGTAAAATGCTCTAGCCCTTTGGAAAACAGTTGGTCATTGCTCAAAAAAGTTAAATATAGGGTTACTACTAATATATGACCAGCAGTTACATTCTTAGGGATATACCCAAGAGAAATGAAAACAAACTTCTACAAAAAAAAATGTATATGAGTGTTCATTGCACCATTATCCGTAGTAGCCAAATAATACAAATTTTTATTAGCTGATAAGTAGATAAAATGTTCTCTAATTCATACAATTAATATATAATTATTCAGCAACAGAAATGAAGTACTGCTACATTGCTAAACATGGATGAGTTATCAGAACATTATGCTAAGTAAAAGAAACTTGTATCAAAAGGGCACATCTTATATTATTCCACTCAAATGAAATGTACACAATAAGCAAATCTATGGAGGCAGAAAGTAGATTAGTCGTTGCCTAGGACTGGGGAAAGGGGGATGGGAGTGACTACTAATGGATACCTGGGTTTCTTCTGGATGATTAAAATGTTCTAAACTTAGATAATCGTGATGGTTGCATAACTCCATGAATATACTAACAGATGGAAAGGGTAGCAATGCTCTTTGTTGTGAGGATAATGGACACCAAATTTACTACAGTTAAAATTCCGTATAACCAATGCTTTCTGTAGCCTTGGTCTATGTAAGGATTACACCCTTAGGGGATCTTATACTAAGGGGAGAGGAGCCCAACAAACCCGGCTTCTCATCTTCTCCACTTTGAGCATCCCAGTTAGCCTCTACAGTCACAGAGACCAAGAAACATAAACATAAAAGAAGGCTGTGATGAAAGTGAGGCTATGTATGAAATCTTGCTCATACTAGTTTCAAAACTCTATTTATTTGCTGATCCACCACAGATAAGTTGGTTGTCAGCTTAATGTCATCTCAGCTTCCATTTCATCTACAGCTCATGCAGGCTGGGAATGTAATTTCAGGCATTAGGCTTAAATTTCACTTAAAGTGGATGTTCCACTCAGCTTTTTAAAACAGGAATTGGATTTTAGCATACTACTATTTCATTCCCCTTGATGCTATTGTTTCTTCTGTTAAATTCCCGAGTCCATTCAGAAAGAGGAAAGAGAGAGATGCCTAGATTCCAAAATACCTTTCATTGTTCTTCCCAGAAGACAAATCTTTTCTATCCAGATTCTACTGGTGGTCAATGTTACATGAACGCAGAGCAGAGTGGTACCTCAAACATTGTTATTGACTTAGCAGTACATTGGGCACAGATCAAGTTGCTATTAAAAGCAATGTACTCCTGCCTCCTTCACATATGCCTGGGGTCACTTGTGTTTGGCACCTATGTGTCCTTATGTTATTACAAAACCATACCCTGGAGTCTTGCTAACTCAGTTTTTTTCTTCACTACATTCGATGTAATTTTCACATCAAGGTGTTTCTATAGACTAGACAGAGTTAGAGTTCAGCTTCTTCCACCCAAAGTGTTTAAATTTGACTAGACAGCAGCAATTGCTTTTTAATCTAAGCAAACTGATCTGTCAAAGACAATCAACTCAGGGAAGTTATTCCAGGAGGATCCTAATAATCCCGATGAGTCACGCTGCCCTATGTGAAACTCAGCCACTGAACTCTTGACATAGCGTGTCACAAGTACTTAGTGGAATAAGTACATACAGCTGAACTCTGTGTTGACACACACACTCTAGCCTCTCGTGCATAATGATCACTGCATTTAGTCTGGTAGAGGAGCACACTCTTGTGTGTGGTGATGTCAATTCATGTTTAATGATGTTACAGCAACTGGGCTTCAAGTTGCATAACCCACTGTCCTCACAAGCACTGATCAACAGTATGCTTGATTCTCCTAGATGAAAATAAAGGGTTGTGGTTGTTGTTTATAATGACCTCCTAGCTTTTTATTTATGTATTTATTTTGAGGCAGGGTCTCGCTCTGTTGCCCAGGCTGGAGTGCTGTGGTGCGAGCATAGTCTACTCCAGCCTCAAACTCCTGGGTTCAAGCAATCCTCCTGCCTCAGCTTCTTGTGTAGGTAAGATCACTGACATGGGCCACCACCCCTGGCTAATTTACTTATTTTTTTATAGAGACTGGGGTCTTGCTATGTTGCTGAGGCTAGTCTCAAACTCCTGGCCTCAAGTGATCCTCCTGCCTCATCCTCCCAAAATGCTGAGATTATAGATGTGAACTACCAAGCCCAGCCTCACCTCCTATCTTTTAAACAGGGTCTCCAACCTCTTAATAATACCTGTACCAATGTAGGGCTTTGCAGTTACCAAGAACTTTAAGAACTCTACCTTGTTTAATTATCACAACAACACTGAGAGGTGAGTAGATGGTTACATCATTTACATTATTAGTAAGTGACAGAACTAAGACGCAAACTTCGATCTGATGGTTTCAGGTTTTAAGGTCTTTCCAATGCTTTAAATCATATTATTAGAGTTTTTGTTCTATTGTTAGGGTTATTGGGTAGTAAGGTTTGACGTTTGTCCCCTCCAAAACACGTGCTGGAAACTTAATCACCTATGCAACAGTGTTGGGGGTTGGAGGTCTAATGTTTACGTCATGAGGGCTCTGCCTTTGTGAGTGAATTAATGCTGCAATAAAAGGGCTGTTGGCTGGGCGCGGTGGCTCACACTCATAATCCCAGCACATTGGGAGGCTAAGGCAGGTGGATCATGAGGTCAGGAGTTCGAAACCAGCCTGGCCAAGATGGTGAAATCCTGTCTGTACTAAAAATACAACAATTAGCTAGGCGCCATGGTGGGTGCCTGTAATCCCAGCTACTTGGGAGGCTGAGGAAGGAGAATTGGTTGAACCCGCGAGGCGGAGGTTGCAGTGAGCCGAGATCATGCCACTGCACTCTAGCCTGGGCGACAGAGCAAGACTCGGTCTCAAAAAAAAAAAAAAAAAGGCTTTTGAGGGTGAATTCATCCCCTTCTGCTCTTCTGCCATGTAAGGAACAGCATTTCCCCACTGGTGGAGGACACAGCATTCAAGGTGTCACCTTGGAAGCTGAGACCAGGACCTTACCAGACATCAAACTTGCCAGCTCCTTGATCTTGAGTTCCCTGCCCCTGTAACTGTGAGAAATAAATTTATATTTTTTATAAATTATCCAGACTCAGGTATTCTGTTATAGCAGCACAAAACAGGCTAGGACAATGAGGTAGGGAACAAGTAAGGGGATAGAGTGGGATAGCAGTGTTGAGAGTCCTGTGCCTGACTGGGGTCTGGTTGCTGGGGTCCCTCTGCTCCCACAGACAACCCTATCAAACATTAGATAAGGAAACGAAGACAGCAAATGGGGAAGCAGCTTGCTGAGTGGTGTCTGGTTGGGGGCAGGGTTGAAAATTCTCCCTAAGAGATGGGCTAGGTGTTATTTGAGAATGACCTCCTCTTATTAACAGTTAGAGGATTGTTTTAAGAGAAATAATAATATACACTTAGTTCAATCAAAGGGCAATGAAAGAGTAGATTGGCTCAAAGGTAACCTTGAAAGAATAATAATAATTATGTTAGCTAATATATATTGAGCACTTAATATTTTCCATAAATCTGGATGCTTTATATATATTAATTTATTAAATGCTTATCACAAGCCTATGCAGTAGGTACTATTGTTCTGCTGAGAAAACCAAGACAATTGGAGGTTGATTAACTTACCTGTGACCGCACAGCTAGTAAATATTAGAGCCAAGTTTCCGTCCTAGGCAAACTGATTAGCCAACCTGTGCTCTGATAATGATGTGATGCTAATAATGAATTTGAGATGGCTTTCTGAATTACGGGAAATTTCATTCGTTTTCTGACGATACAATAATGAATATTTTCATTTCAGGCAGTATTACAACCTAGTCCGATTGACCCTTCCACTAAAAACACCCAAAACTGATGCATAAAATTAAAAGAAAAAAACTTTTTAAGATGTGCTGATAAGCTGGCAGGAGGTAAGGAACACTGAGATGCCTAAAATTACATGAAAATGTGGACCTAGAGAGGCATGCTCAACACCAAAGTCAGTTTTCACTCTAATGATATGCACTGATCCTTGATGACCCTGGCTTTTGTTTTTTATAAGGTCATAGGATACGGGGATACAAGGCAAAGTCCAGGGCCTGCCCAAGCCGGGGAGTCTAATAAGAGACCTCAATGTAAAGAATTCATAACAACAAAACAGACTTTCATTTGGGTTTCTAATCCAAATTCCACCCAAAATTTCAGGTTAAGAATGTGGTTTAAAATCGTTCTTTGTTGGAAATGCACTCAGATGTGTGAAAGTTGTCAATATCAAGATGGAATCACTTGTGTCAAACCCAAATAAGATAGGAGGTTAAGAAAAGAGAGCCTCACATACACAAGCCTATGATAAGACTGAGTGAGGGCCCTCATGCACATATGCCTGTAACAAAAACTTTTGCCAAGGACTTTCAAAATTGCAGCTTGCTATATGTGTCACAAGGACAGAGAGCAGGATGCAAAAGAACACTTACCTGACACACTATCTCCACTAAAGAACTGACTTCGACTCCTGAAATAAGCCCCAGTAACCAATGTTCTCTTTGTTTCAAAACAAAAACAAATTACCTGTACTTCTCTCTTTTACCTTTAAAACCTTCCCTTTGCCTTAACCACTTTGGATATGACTCTGGTCCCCATAGTCCACATACCCCACATTTGCAAATCCCCTGTACATTCCCAAATAAACTGATTGTCTTTGGAGAATCTCTCTCTGCCTATTATTAGGTTGACAGACACTTGGCAGAATCAAAAAGCAAATCCACTGGAAAGGAGTCAAACTTAAAATCAGTCATCAAACAATTCCCACAGATAAACCAGCAAAGAATAAAAGCTTAGAGCAGAATAAGCTCCAATAAAACACAAATAAACAAAGCACCATGAGTGTAGAGCCAATAGAAATTATAATCATAAGAATCAAACCCCAAAAGACATCAAGTAGTGCAATTATACTATAGAGAATGAGGGGCATAACCTGGTAGTGCTTTGCACTTATTTCTTGCTCTGTCCCTGCACTTCTCTGATATCAGTTAGGAAGCCTTCAGAAATAATTTAGCACTCATACCCGTATTATCTGGAAGCACAGGGACGTTGTCATCCCTGGGGCAATCTTTGATTGATGGGATATGAAAGCTAATACGTAAGTCCCATCTTTCACTCTTGGTGGACAATTCTGAGATGTCAGCTCTTCAAAAGGTCCTGATGAAATTAAGCCCCACTTGCCCATAGTGGACAATATCTAAGGCACTCTTGTGTTGGCTTTCTCTTCTTCCTTGTTTCACTTTCTCCAGTCCCCTACTCCTGTCCCCTGGGATTACTTCAAGAAGCTACCTGCTTGAGAATTTAAAATATGAATAAGGAACGAGAGACTATAAAACACAAACAGAAGTATCTGGAAAATATAACCAAATAGAACTTCTAGAAATAAAAAATCATTTTCATTTAAAATTTAAAGGGTGGTTAAACAAAAGAATAGATACAGTATAAGAAAGAATTAATGAACTGGAAGACAAATAAAAGTATTTTGCATAATGCAGAACAGAGACATAAGCATATGTAAAATATGAAAAAGGTGGTAGAGTGCAAATATCTACAAAAGTCAAACTGGAATTCCTGAAGGACAGAATAAGGAAATTTTGAGGAAACAATATTCAAAGAAGTAATGGATGAATTTTCCAGATTGAATGACTCAAATCAGATTGACAAATCCTAAATTGCTAAAGAAAACACATAGAAAAGCTGAACAAATAAAGAACATAAATTAAGATATGGAAATAAATATAAATGTACAATAAATAAATGCAAATGGGAAAATAAACCTATTTAAAAGTTAAAATTATCAGATTGAATAAAAAATTTTAAATCCACCATTGAGGTATGTTAAAAAGAAGGCTGTGACATAAGGATAACAAATGGTTGAAATTAGAAGGATGAAAATATATACATATTTTAGAGAGAATCAGAAGAAAATAACTATTGGGTACTAAGCTTAGCACCTGGGTGATGAAATAATCTGTACAACAGACCCCTATGACATGAGTTTATCTATATAACAAACCCACAAATGTAACCCTGAACCTAAAATAAAAGTTTAAAAATATATATATATTTAAAATATGAACAATCAGAGTGCAGCTGATATTACTATATTAATATCAAACAAAATAGACTTTAAGGCAAAAGACAATGAAACTAAATAATGAAAAAAGGTTAAATTCACCAGCCAGATATAAAAATTCCAAACTAAGTTCTAAATAATATAGCTTGAAGCTATAGAAGGTAAAACTTAAAAGAATTACAAGCAAAAATATATACGTACCAGTAAAGCTGAAGATTTTAACACGCCTCAGTGGTTGAAAGCTCACTCAATAAAGCAGAAAAATATCAGTAAGGATATAGAAGATTTGAACAATACAGTTAACAAGCTTTACCTGTTGACGTATATAGAACATTTTACTCAAAGAGTGGAGAAGCATTTCAAGCTGAAACAGTAATTTATAAAAATTGAACACATTCGGCCAGGTGCAGTGGCTCACACCTGTAATCCCCACACTTTGGGAGGCCGAGGCGGGCGGATCACAAGGTCAGGAGTTCGAGACCAGCCTGGCTAACATGGTGAGACCCCGTCTCTACTAAAAATACAAAAGTAAGCTGGTTGTGGTGGTGGGCATCTGTAATCCCAGCTACTCAGGAAGCTGAGGTAGGAGAAGGAGAATTGCTTGAACCCGGGAGGCGGAGGTTGCAGTGAGCTGAGATCATGCCACTGCACTCCAGCCTGGGCAACAGATCAAGACTCCGTCTCGAGGAAAAAAAAAAAAAATTGAACACATTCTGGGCCGTGAAACGAAATTCAACTAATTTTAAAGGATTGATATCATACAGGTTATATTTTTTGCCACAAAGCACTTCATAGAATGAAGCACAAATGGCCAGTAAATTATAAAAATGCTGCTTAACTTTTTAATAATTGGGAAAATGAAAATTAAAATATACAGCGATACCAGTTGACACCAACTGTATTGGCAAGATTTTGTAAATCTGACAGTCTCAAGTGCTGGCAAGAATCTAGAAAAACCACATCTCTTAGACACTGCTAGAGAGTATCACCCCTTTGGAAAACAATTGTGATCATCTATTAAAGTTGGAGATGTACATTAACTATGACTCAGCAATTCCACCAGAAAAACTCTGGCACGTATATAGATGTAAAAGAATATTCAAAGCAATATTGGGGTTTTTTTGTGGTTTGTTTGTTTGTTTGTTGAGACAGAGTTTCACCCTTGTTGCCCAGGCTGGAGTGCAGTGGTGTGATCTCGGCTCACTGCAACCTCCACCTCCCGGGTTCAAGTGATTCTCCTGCCTCAGCCTCCCGAGTAACTGAGATTACAGGCATGTGCCACTACACCTGGCTAATTTTGTATTTTTAGTAGAGACGGGGTTTCTCCATGTTGGTCAGGCTGGTCTTGAACTCCCAACCTCAGGTGATCCACCTTCTTCGGCCTCCCAAAGTGCTGGGATTACAGGCGTGAGCCACCACGCCCGGCCAGCAATATTGTTTTAATAGTAAAAACTGGAGGCAATCTAAATGTTTACCATAAATAAGGCCACAAATAAACAAATAATAGTGTCCCCCTATGAACATGTGTAAAATTCCTCTGGGAAATATGAAGCATGAGATGTTGGGTCATAGGTACATACATATTGAATTTCACTAAACTTTTTCAGAATTCTTTCCAGAATGGCCCTACCAGTTAACACTCTAGACAGCCTGGTTCAAGAGTTCTCATTGTGCTATATCCTCACTAAAATTTGGTATTTTCTATTTTCTAATACTGTATTTGCTATTCTGATATGGAATCTAATTTTTATTTTAAACTTGCCTTTTTTGATTTGCATCTTTTCATATACTTGTTAGCTAGTCAGACTTACCTTTCTATAAAGTGCATAGCCATATCCTTTGTCCATTTGCCTATCGAGTTTCCTGTCTTTCTTATCACTATGCAAGATTTGTTTATATATTCTGTATGTTAACCCCTCATTGGACTTAGACATTATGGATATCTTTCCCGATCTGCCATCTTCTGTTAACTTTGTGATATCCTTCAAGTGAGAAAAAAAAAAACCCTTAATTTTGTAGTAATCAATTTTCATCCTAAGGTTTGTGCTTTTGGAGTCTTATTTATGTTTTTCCCCACTCTCAGGCCATAATTCCTTTAAGTAGTTTCAAGGTTTTATCTGTAGATTTTTTTGTGTGTGTTCTTTGAAAAGTTATTTCTTAGAAACTTTACAGCTTTAGCCCCTATTATAGGTAGCATCTAATTTCCAATTACATTTTCTGCTTGGTTACTGCTGATAAAGATGAATGCTATCATTCTTATCTCCCAACAGTTCCAACAGTCTGCTCATTCCACATATTTCTTATATATATAAAATCATAACATCTGCAAAGAATTTCAATTTCATCTCTTCATTTCCAATCCTGATAACTCTTAATTCTTTTTCTCACATCATAGCATTGGTCAAACCTTCAGTATCATGTCAATTAGTAACAATCTTAAAGAGATCTTAATGAGAAGGGCAGTTTCCCCATTAACAAGATATTTGCTGAAGAATTTGTGATATATTGTCTTTATAAAATCAAGGAAATGCCTTTATATTTTGAATTTTATTATAGTTTTTATTAACAAGAGGGGCTGAAGTTTTATCAAGTGTTTATTTCTACAGCAATTGATGTAATCATAGGATTTCTCCCTATTCCAAATATGTATCAATAACAGACTACACTGATTCTCCATTGCTGAACCATCACATACTTCTGAACTCAAACCTAATTCATCATTGTTGGATTCAATTAGCCAATATTTCACTAGAATTTTCATAAGCATATCTGTAAGTCTAATAAGCATGTAGTTTTTAAAAATTATCCTATTGGAATTTGAATCAGAATTGCCCTAGCCTCATAAAATGAGTCACCACTTTTCCACATCCCCTCTTTTATGGAATAACTTGAATTGGCTGTTCATTCAATGTTTTGTAAGTCTCACTGTAAAACAGGATCATTTGTGCAATTTTGCAAGCTGACTCTAAAATTTCTATGGAAACGCAAAAAGTCAAGAAGATCCCAAAAAGAAAAAGAAGACAAGAGTATTTGCACTACTAGATATCTAGACTTACTTATGGAGCTATAGTAATTAAGAGACTATACAAGGACAGTAGACCAAGGCAGCACAATAGAAACAGACCCATGCACAGATGGACACTAAATAGATGACAGGTCAATTAATCAATAGACAGGAAACATGCTCCTACCTCACAAAAGATATAAAAATACCTATTCCAGGTGGATTATAGATCTAAATGGGAAAACCAAAAATGTTTGAGAAGATAATATTGGAAAACATTTTCATGACTAAATGTTTTAAAAAAGATTTCTGCCATAGGACAAAAAAAGCACTAACACGGGTGAGGGGTATGTGGAAATCATGGTCAAACGGTATAAAGTTTCAGTTATGCAAGATAAATAAGTTCTGGAGATCTACCAGACAATGTAGTGTCTATAGCTAACAGTATCCTATGTATACTTATATTTAGTAAGAGGGTAGAACTTAGGATAAGTGTTCTTACCACAAAAAATAAAAATAATAATAAAGAGACAGCAGGAAACTTTGGGAGGTAATGAACATGTTTAAAATCAATTGATTATATGTGTGTAGGTCTCATTTCTTAAAGAGATTGCTTTACTTAATAATTTTATTAACAAGGTGTTAATATTTTATGCAGAGAAATCCTGTCAGACAGATGTAACAAACTTCCTTTTCTAGCTTATGGCTCATGTTTTCCCTCTGTATACCTCTGAAACTTCCAGGCCTTTTCTGTGAATTGAGTAGATAGATTTTTCTTTTCTTTTTCTTTTTTTTTTTTTTTTTCTTGAAGTGTAATTTATAGAAATCAACTTTACTTTTTTTTTTTTGACGGAGTCTCACTCTGTTGCCCAGGCTGGAGTGCAGTGGGGCGATCTCGGCTCACTGCAAGCTCTGCTTCCCAGGTTCACACCATTCTCCTGCCTCAGCCTCCCGAGTAGCTGGGACTACAGGTATGCGCCACCACGCCCGGCTAATTTTTTGTATCTTTAGTAGAGACGGGGTTTTACCGTATTAGCCAGGATGGTCTCAATCTCCTGACATCGTGATCCACCTGCCTCAGCCTCCCAAAGTGCTGGGATTACAGGCGTGAAGCCACTGCGCCTGGCCAGAAATAAACTTTACCTTTTTAAAGTTTAGTTTGATGTCTTTTTACAAATGCACACAGCCATGTGACCAGTACTACGATCCAGATACAGAACATTTTAATCATTCTAGAAAGTCCCCTGTGTCCTTTTGTAAAGTACTCCCTTAATCTTGAGCCCCTGATGACAACTGATCTGGTTTTTGTTCCAGTAATTTGGCCTTTTCTAAAATGTCATACAGTATGCTGTCTTTTGTGTCTTGCTTTTGAGGTTCTTTTATGTTGTTGCCTGTATCTTTATATTGCTGAATAGTATTCTATTACACTCGGTATCTGTGGGGGATTGGTTCTAGGACCCCCAAGGACCTCAAAATCTGTGAATACTCGAGTTCTGCCGTGGGCCCTGTGGAACCTGCGGATATGGACTTGGTGCGCAGCAAATGCACTGCAGTCTTTGGAGGGAGCTGCAGTCAAACTCAGAAATTCCCGGGCAGCCACGCTCTTCCCCGCCCCCCTCCCCCCCCCCCCAGACGGAGTTTTGCTTTTGTTGCCCAAACTGGAGTGTAATGGCGAGATCTCAGCTCACTGCAACCTCCGCCTCCCGGGTTCAAATTATTCTCCTGCCTCAGCCTCCCGAGTAGCTGGGATTACAAGCGCGTGCCACCACGCCCAGCTAATTTTTTTTTTTTTTTTTTTTTTTTAGTGGAAACGGGGTTTCACCATGTTAGCCAGGCTCATCTAGAACTTCTGCCCTCAGGTGATCCGCCTGCCTCGGCCTCCCAAAGTGCTGAGATTACAGGCCTGAGCCACCGCGCCCGGCCCAGCGACGCTCTTATACAAACATATTTGCATTACTAGCCCAGGCACCTTCATTCCTAAGTCTCTTTACCTGAGGCCTTGGGCAAAGATCTTCTTGTCAAAGCCTCCCTAAGAAGGGGAAACCTTGGGCCGGGCGCGGTGGTTCACGCCTGTAATCCCAGCACTTTGGGAGGCCAAGGAGGCAGATCACCTGAGGTCAGGAGTTTGAGACCAGCCTGGCCAACATGGTGACACCTGGTCTCTACTAAAAATGAAAAATTAGCCGAGTGTGGTGGCACGCGCCTGTAATCCCAGCTACTCCAGAGGCTGAGGCAGGAGAAACTCTTGAACCCGGAAGGCAGAGGTTGCAGTGAGCCGAGATCACCCCACTGCACTCCAGCCTGGGCAATAGAGCAGGACTCCTTCTCAAACAAAAGGGGAGGAGAGGGGAGTGATGGTGGGGAGGCTTGAAAACACGTTTCCCCACTTTGACTCAGTCCCCAGTAGTTTTCAACTCCCAGCTCTCCCCCTTCACCCTCCTCCCCAACTTCTCATTCACTGTACTCAACCCGAGTCCATAAAACCACAGGGTTCCTTCAGCAATGAGATGACCCCACGTCTGTACTTATCTGCCTAATCCTCAATCAGTGCACAGTTCCTTGGGGGACATCGAACAGGAAGTCGGTGACTTCTCCCCTTTTAGCCTCTTGCTTATCCCATCACAGCGATTTAAGACTTAACTCTTTCATTTTTGGCTTGTTTTAATTGGCTACTCCAACACCTAACAGCTCATCTCTCTCCCAGCTCAGCTGAGCCCTTGACAACAGCTAATAGAGTCAAAGCTGGAGTTCAAATCCAGGTAGTCTAGCCCCTCAGTCTGTGCTCCTAGCCATAGCGCTATATTGCCCTCTTTTGTGTTAGACTATTGCAGTCTGAGAAACTGAAGGTGGGTGGCTTGGACAAGGGTAATAAAAGTTGGCTAATTTAAAATATATACTAGACAGGTAAGTTCAACAAGACTTGGTGATGGGTTGGATACACTAGATGAGAGGAAGAGAAGATGTCATCATCTCAGGTTTTGGCTGGAGCAATTAAGTGGTACCCATTTGCTGAGACAGGAAAGACTGGGATGGGGTGACAGATGGCAGCTGACCACAGGGAAACAAGAGCTCCTCTCTGGACACATTTAAAGTTTGAGATTCCTAAAAAAACATCCAAGTGAAGATGTAAAGTAGGCCACTGTATATAGAATCTTGGAATTTGAATACCAATTTATTTTTTCTCTATTCCTAGATACTAGGAAAACAGAAATATTATATAAAGGAACACTGTACACATACCATTTTAATTAATTCTCCCCACTCCTACAATAAGCTTCTTTCAAGAAGCCAATCTTCTGAGAAAAATGTAGAGCCATCTCCAAATATGATTGCTATATGAACACATAACAGTCTCCAAATCATGAAAACCACCAGGATATCAAATTCTCAAGGAATGCCCAGAAGCTGGAACTGAGCAAGCTAATAATTCACCAATGAAAAATTTGAGAACAATTTAATGAATGACTGCCACGCATTAGCCTTATTTTACGATGGTTAGCATTTTTTATCCTTTTCAGTTATTTGCTCAATCAACAGGTTGGTCAACTTACTTGTCTCTAAATCTAGAGAATAATGTAGCAATTCACTTAAGCCAGATACCTGAAGCTGCACTGGACACAGAGTTTACATCAAGCCGCCGCGCCAATGTTTCTGTAGCTGGTTTTTTACACCTAAACATATGCTATACTGCACAGTTTTTAAAACTGTTTCAAATATACTTTTCACCTACCCAGGTGAATTTTATTTCCTTTAAGGGTAAATACTGGGTCACAGTCCCTAAACCACGGTTAAGTACATGGGAGGCAGTCAATGGAATTTGTTGATTTGAAAAGTTTTCTGCACTAACTATATATCCAGCACCCACTCAGGACCACTTTCCTCCATTTCAGTCAAACAGACTCGATTCACTCACACAAGTACTACATATAGTAATAGTCATTAGATTCTCAGTTTATAGTTCAATGGTTTTGCAACATTAGATGCACAATATATTTTGAAGCACCAAGTATGCTTGAAATTAAACATTTTTATAAAGATAATAAAAGTTAATGACTACCCATGATCTATGATCTGACAATACATCTGTTCTTTCTAATTTTGAGATGATAAAATACCCACACTAGCTTGTTGTGGCACAGTGAGAGAGAAGAAATACAGTCCTATTAATCACTCTTAAGTATCAGCTTATTAAGTTATAGTTTCTCAACAGGCTTGTCATACATGACTATTAATAGGCTGCAGGTGTTTCTCTAAAAGTATTTTTATAATGCAGTTATGTCATAAAAAGACAGCATGGAATAACAGAAACCCTAGTGGACTAAGAATCAGAAAGTCTAAGTTTTAAATTCTCATTTGGTTAACAAGTATCCCAGAAACCTTGCACAAGTCACCACCTCTCTGGGTCTCCAATTTTCTCACCTGTAAAGTGAAGGGACTAATTATAAATTGAAGAAATAAGTATGTGCCAATTTACACCAGACCAGTAGGCAGGTTACAATAACTCAGTACCTAAGACTTTTACCAAGGACATTCTAACAGAAATCTGCTCACATTAAAATAGCTTAAAACAAACAATAACATTGGAATTTCTGTTGCTATTGTTAACCTTAAAAGTGAATTTTGTTGTCTAAGAACTGTGGAAGTGCAGGAGAACAGAGAAACATGTTTCACATGAAAAAATCTTGACTGCTGATACACACTGATGTACCTTAAATTGTGGTAAAAATAACCAAATTTTTATATTTTTTTTATTTTACAGAGACAGGGGTCTCACTATGTTGCCCAGGCTGCTCTTGAACTCCTGGCCTTCAGCAATCCTCCTGCCTTGGTTTCCCAAAATGCCAGGATTACAGGCGTGAGCCACTGTATCTGGCCTCAAAATTTCATTATTAGCTAAGCACCTATTCATAAAGACAACTATTACACACTCTGCAATTGACAAAAGGGTTGCACTCCAAAAGCTTGTAAGTCTAAGTTTTGGAAACGTTATAAATGAAGGCTAAGTTCCTAGTTCAGCTCACAAGAGCATAAATGATCCTTGACATAGCTGAACTATACAATATATTATAATAGCAAGTGCTCAAGTGCTGAGTCCTGTGAATGGGGCTTGTGTCATAAAGATAAGTTTCCTCCCCTGTTCTTGGGTAGGAGACTGGAGGTTGGCAATGATTAAAATAATTTACTTTCATCACACAGCTTTGGCTCCCTTTATAACTTTTTACACTCTGGTAGGGCACTTAGCCCTAACTGTGCTGCTGTCCTACCTACCAAAGGGTTCCTCCTTCCAACACCCCTTTCTTGAGCCTTCAAGTAGTAATTCTATGACCACAGAGCAATTGATGGACATTTCAACAAATAACCCAGACAATATTATCCCTCCTAGACTATAAGCAGTTTTTAAGAGGCTACCTGTTATTTATAAAAGCAACAATATTAGAAATCTAAATGTTAATTTTAGAGACATGGTCAAGTAAATTATGATGAATCCATACAACAAAACATTATGCCACCATTCCACAAAATGTTTACAAACAAGCCAGGCACAATAGCATGCAGCTGCAGTCCCAGCCACTAGGAAGGCTGATGTGGGGGGATCGCTTGAGTCCAGGAGTTCGAGTCCAGCCTGGGCAACATATACAGAGAGACCTCCATCTCTAGATAACGCACTTTTTTTAATTAAAAAAGTTTTAATGACATGAAAAATGTTTAAAACAAAATGCTAAGTAAATAAAGAAGATACTACGTGCTATATTCTTTATGAACTCAACTGTGTAAAAAATGAATTGCTATAGAAGAAAATATAACACAATTGTTGGGTAGTAGAATTATAATTTATTGCTTTTTACCAGTTCGTACACTAATCTATGCTTTGCAGATGTTCCCATATTAAGTACCCCTTTTGTTATTTAAAAAAGTTAAGGGAGAGAAATGTTCATAAATCTCTAATTGGTAGAATTAGAGAGAGCTAAAAACAGTGCTAATTATCAGGCAACGTGGAAACAACTTTGTGGGCAAGAGAGCATTCCTTTTTTTTTTTTTTAACTGTTTACAAAGAGTTCAATTAAACTTGTTTTAAATTAAACACACTAAACAAAATTATAAGTTTTGTGATTATGAAAATACTGTTTATCACTACATAAAATACTGTTTATGGCACTTTATAGATTCAAAAAACCTATTAATGATACTTCTTTTCTGGATTAAAGATAGTGGATGTTTATATATATGTATGTGTATATACATACACACACACATATATATGTAAATGTATCATACAGAAAATAACATAGGCATATGATTTGGAGAAACAGGGAAAAAAAAGTTACAAAGTGGGAGAAGTCCATCCCACTATACAACTCATTCCCAGATATAGCAATAGTCTCTTATTCACCTCCTCAGAAATTTTTGTTGCATGTAATCCCATATATATTCTATTTCACATTAGTCATTCTTCTATACACTTTATTTCACTAACACCTTAGAAACATTTACATATCAGTATGTATTGATACATTTCATTCTTTATACATACCAATTAGTATTCTATTCTAGGGCTGTAACACATTATTAGTCAGCCCCCTACTGATAGACACTGAAGTTATTCTGTTTTCCTCTATCACGAACAAGGCTTCAGTGAATATCATTGGACAAATATCCTTATATACATGAACAAGTGGATGCCTAAGATATAAATTCTTAGAATTTTTGTGTCAAAGACTATGCGTACATTGAAAAAATCTGGTGGTGCTACCAAATTGCCTTCCAAAGAATCTGTACCAATTTACAATCTAAGGGAACATTTCTGATCAACATAGATTCTTTAAAGCAGACTCCAGTGCTTTCAATGGCCAGGAAGATAACATAGAGTAGTGAAGCATGCTGGGCTAAGAAAATGGCGAACTGGTCTGGTGTGGTGACATAATCCCAGCACTTTGGGGAGGCTGAGGCGGGTGGATCACTTGAGGTCCCTAGGGGTTCAAGACCAGCCTGACCAACAAGATGAAACCCCGTCTTTATTAAAAATACAAAAATTGGTCGGGTGTGATGGTGCATGCCTAAAATCCCAGCTACTCGGGAGGCTGAGGAGCAGAATCACTTGAACCCAGGAGGTGGAGGTTGCAGTGAGCCGAGATCATGCCACTGCACTCCAGCCTGGGCAACAGAGTTAAAAAAAAAAAAAAAAAAAAAAAGAGGGTAGAAAAAAGAGGGGGGAGGGAGGGGGGAGAGAGAGAGAGGAGGAAATGGCAAACTGGAGAGGGCATTTAGTTATTCAAAGCAGCAGCATTTACTCAATTCCATAATGCTTTGCAGGAATATGCACCCATGCACCCAATATTGTCAGATTGTCTCACTGCTCAAAAGGACCCAAAACTCCTGACTTCTGCATGAAATCTTCAGGTTTTGTAAAATCTTGGTAACTCATTCAAAATTTTAGAAACAGTATGACAAACAAAACATGTGAGTAGGAATCATCTCCTGGGCCTCCAACTTGTGAGCTATCCTTTAAAGCTTGCGTTTCCCGATACCCAAAAGACTGCCTGAATAGTAGAGGCTGTGTTCAGCAGATTATTTCCAAGCTGGGATTTCCTTCTATTACATTTTGTTTTGGGGTTAACTTGAAAATGGATTTTATTAACTACGTGGTTAATAACTATCTCCTCAAACTATTTGGATAACTTAATCTACTCTGCCCAGATAGTTTCATTAATCAGTTTCCTATAATACATTCCCTTGCTTTATATTCGAGTGTTTTATTTCTGTTTTCTTCCTTATATGAAACTACCATGTTTTAAGAATTGAGTCATTTTCCTATTAATATAATCTTTTTCCCAAAGGAGAAAATCTAACCATTTTTCTATACTACCTTGCATTCAACATATCCATCTACATACAGAAGAAATTGTGGGAATGGAGTAAATTAGAAAGATGCTACCTCTAAATAGTATTTTTAATCTTTGTAAAATCTCTTTATATTAACTACACTCTTATTTTAAAAATGTGAAAAAATAAATCCTAAAATAAGCAGATCTATATTTTAAAATATTCAAATTGATGGTTAAAATACTATTTTATATATATGCATATGGGTGTGTGTATATATATGTATATGGGTATATATATGGGTATATAGATACACATACATGTATACGAATATATATACACATATATATGTATACGAATATATACACATACATGTATACGAATATATATACACATATATGTATACGAATATATATACATGTATGTATACGAATATATATACACATATATGTATACGAATATATATACACATGTATGTATACGAATATATATACACATGTATGTATACGAATATATATACACATGTATATGTATACGAATATATATACACATGTATATGTATACAAATATATATACACACACATGTATATGAATACACACACATGTATATGAATACACACATATATGAATACACACACATATGTATATGAATACACACACACATATGTATATGAATACACACACACGTATGTATATGAATACACACACACGTATGTATATGAATACACACACACGTATGTATATGAATACACACACACGTATGTATATGAATACACACACACGTATGTATATGAATACATACACACGTATGTATATGAATACATACACACGTATGTATATGAATACATACACACATATATATGTATATGAATATATACACACATATATATGTATATGAATATATACACACATATATATGTATATGAATATGTACACACATATATGTATATGAATATGTACACACATATATATGTATATGAATATATACATATATATATTTTTTTTGAGACAAAGTCTCACAGGCTGGAGTGCAGTCACATGATCATGTCTCATTACAGCCTCGATCTCCTGGGCTCAAGCGATCTCGCACCTAGCCTTCCAACCACAGGCACATGCCACCATGCCCAGCTTATTTTTATTTTTTTGTAGAGATGGGGTCTGCCTATGCTGTCTAGGCTGGTCTTGACTTCTGGTCTTAAGCAATTCTCCCACCTCAGCCTCTCGAAATGCTGAGATTACAGACATAAGCCACCACACTCAGTTATTTAATATTTTATTATCTATCTCTTTTACATAACTACTTGCAAAAAAAACTAATATGACAAAGCCAATGTATTATATGGTTATAAACAGAAACATATCTGTAAACATTAGTATTATAAGCAGTGTAATATTAAAGGTGGTTATCTATTTGAAAACTCAGAAGGCAGTGACTTCTACAATTAAATTTCAAAAAATCAAAACATAAAACATTATTAGCTTCAGTTACTATAAATAAAGCATCCGAATCTTAATTTTAGAGCTAATGGTAACTTTTAAATAATTCCTAAATTTCATGTAATCTGTTAAGATATATTTTGTTAACATTTAGAAAAGACAAGAGAATAAGAGAATCAAAACCAACGAATTAAAGGAGCTTTATAATTTAGCAAAACTTTCAACTTACATGTCTCTCAAACATTACTGGCAAACACAATGACTGCTTATGAGAAAATCTGCATATGTCATTCTACAAACAGTAATGTCATTAATATTCTATTTTTAGTTTCCAAGGGAAGATCCTAAACATAACAAATCCTTCCGTTAGCATTTCTTCGTGTATGCATGTTCCTACTTCCTGTTCAAACATATGCTGTAACTATTCAAGTACGTCTTTTCAAAATAAAACTGATTAACCACCCAAAAATTCAAAAACCCACCAACATCCAAGTGATATTAGGCACATATCACTTGAACTTGACATTTTAATGATGAAAAGCAAATTTAAGAAGCAAAAAAATTAACATATTTAAATTATAATTTGCACATCAGATTACTTTTTCAGATGTGTCAGAGCTCACAGATAAAAGTAATGAAAAGAAACGTGGTAAAATACATTTTAATTTTACCTTCATTATAAATTAAAATGAGGCGTAAGAAAAACATTGAGACCATAATATATACATATGGAAAACTGGCCACTGAAAGATGCAAATAATTCATACAATATAGCGTAAGCTTTCATATATAAATTATATGTCATTTCATCAACTGTTAGTATCATCAGTCTAAATTTTACAATATATATTAAAATATTAAAATGCTAAAAAAATCATTGCAATATAGAATACACTGTGGCAAAATACGTATTTGTGGCTTTATAGACAATCTAAATCCATTCTATACAATAGTTTTCTAAAATATAAATGGCAGTTTACATGCAAAAGAACACACCAGCTGGATGACCTCATATAATATATCAGAAATTAGGAGAAAACACCCTTTTAACAAGACAGTTACATAGCAGAGGTGGAATGTAGAATCAGATTTTGCCTTAATACAATCTTGGATAAAATTAATTATGAAAAAGGACAGTCTCTATTACTTTCAGTTAGCATTTTAAAAAATAAAATCTACTGTGATTTTATATTTTCTAATTGTATCACAAACAGAGAAAACATAAAAGGGAAAAGAGAGAAACAGAAAACCTGATGATCCTTTATAAATTGGAAGCATCAGCCCTGCCTATGGGTTGCATTTAGGCTGCTTTTTTGTTGACATTTTCCCAAATTACTTCTGCCATTCTGAATTGTGCATCAGTAGTCAGAGGAGTTTTCCAGACTTCATTATGCCATTGTGTAACCATAGCTGCCACAATGTAGTGCCACAAGAAGTCTGTCCTTGAGTATTTCTTTACTTGGGTATTCAGGTAACTTGAGCATGTTGATGCTTTAAAAGAAAAATATACCACCATTAAACAGGAAATCTATAAAATTTCTGATTGTTTTGCCTAGCAGTGAAAACACTACTCATAATTAACATAAAATCATCCTCCCAAATTTGCATTCAGATTGAAAAACCCTAAAGTGGTATTTAAAAAGAAGAAAAAATCTGCTGCATTGCAGTTTCTTTCAGCATGCAAATGCAGTGGAAGAAAATACGTTCCTTTCAGCTTAAAATAAATAAGCAATAGGGCAATTTAGTTTGAAGTGATGGTGTGTAACTCAGTGCTACTTACGGTAGTGTAACTTTAGTGATACTTGAACTATAGTCAATTAAATTGTAGGGAGTTAGGGCTTCCTCAAACATTTTCCCTACCAAAAACAGGGGCACAAAAAACTACATAATTACTCATCAGTGATTCCAAAATCCTGGAGAGAGATCACAGCTGAGGTTTTCCTCCCAATGCAGCAACAGTTAGATCTCTGATCATTCAAAATTAATCAAAACAATTTGTAAAGCATTTAAATAAACCAAGTCAACATACCATGTGCTTGAAGTTGGTAAAAGATTTGGAGTATATGGCACAGCAGCGATTGTAAAGTTTTGCAATCCACTTCCACCCATGATATTAGCAAACCCACCATGTGGGACCCTGGAACTAAGAGTTTATATCTTAATACATTGTAATCATGAAAGAAAGATATTTGTGACAGATAAATTTCAAGTTCTAAGTTAGGGTAGGAATATATCCAACTCTAGGACAATGACAACACGACACTTTTTAGTCTACAAAACTCCAATTCATTACTGTAAGTTGCTTTGTGATTAGTTAGCAAGCTTCCATGGAGACACCCCTCCACATTTCCATAAGCTATACTATGCTTGCAACTGGCCACAGCACATACCTCAATATTGCATTTAGTATGCTACATTTACAATTATTTGCTTTCATGTGGCTCTCTATTGAAGTGGGGCTGATTTGAGGGCCCAAACAAGTCATATTTACATCTATATCCCTGGGGCTAGCAAAATGCCTGGAGTAGACATTCATTAAATGTTTGTTGAATAGATTAATATTCGATTGACTAATTCAAGCAATAAATGCTCTGACATGTAATCCAAATGATTTCCTTGTTTGTGAAAAATATCTAGGCCCTAAAGATTTGTTTTGTTTTTTATAGTGGAAAAACTGAAAAATTCTTTATGTTCCTCTTTGATTTGATATTCAGAATATCAAATATATTTTTCAAACATCATCTAACATAATGAGGCCACAGGAAGGCTAACATATAATGCATAACACATCAGTAGAAAATTTAATCTTGGGTACATGGCTGTAGAGGATGTAATTACAACTTCTCAAGTTCTATACACATCAAAAAGAAAATTAATATTTCTTCTAAAGTTTGCCCGTGTATCATATCATGATTAAACTGATACAAAAAAAAAATTCTATTGCTTTTAAAATGAGGTGCTGTAGTGCTTTTTGGATAAATTAGAAAAATGACAAAGGAACGTTTAATGTATAGGTTACTAAATACATACTTGCAAACATCTGAATAAAATTTAAAATACTTTCTTAAAAATATGATTTATAACATAAAGCATAGTTTAGGTCACTGAAAAAAAAAGTTGAACCTCAAATAGCCTAAACAGTCTAGAAAAAAAAGAACAAAGGTGGCAGACTCACATATCCTGATTTGAAAACTTATTACAAAGCTGTGGTAATCAAAACAGTGTGATACTGCCAAGAAAAGAGACATATGAACCAGTAGAACAGAATAGAGGCCAGAAATAACCCCTCACATACATAATGAAATGATTTTCAACTAGAGTGCCAACAACATTCAAAGGGGAAAAGACAGTCTTTTCAACGAAGTGTGTTGGGAAAACCGGATATTCACTACAACGAAAATGAAGTTGGACCCTTACTTTACACTAAGTTACTTAAAAACTAACTCAAAATGGATTGAAGACCTAAATCTAAGAGCTAATACTATAAAACTCTTAGAAGAAAATATAAGGGAAAAGTTTCATAATACTGGATTTGGCAACGATTTATTGAATATGACACCAAATTGATATCCAGAACATACAAAGAATTCCCATAGAAAAAAAAAAAAATCCCGATTAAAAATGGGCAAACAATTGAAAAAGACATTTCTCCAAAAAAAAGATAAACAAATGCCCAATAAGCACATGAAAAGATGCTCAACATCACCATTTACTAGGGAAATGCCAATCAAAACCACTTCACACTCATTAAGATGACTATCGGCAAAAAATCAAAAAAACAAAAGACAGAAAATTACAAGTATTGGCAAGGATGTGGAGAAATTGCTGCTGGGAATGTAAAATGATGCAGCCTCTGTGGAAAACAGTATGCAAGTTCCTCAACAAAATTAACAGAATTACAATACAGAATTATCATATGATCAGGCAATTCCACTTCTGGGTATATATCCAAAAGAACTGAAAGCACGGACTCAAAGAAGTATCTGCGCATACAGCAGCATTATTCACAATAGCCAAATGGTAGAAGCAACCCAAGTGTCCATCAACAGATGGCTGGATTATTATTTAGCCAAGGGAGTATTATTTAGCCTTAAAAAGGAAGCAAATTTTGATATGTGCTACAAAATGGATGAATCTAGAAGACCTTATGCTAAGTGAAATAAAGCAATCACAAAAGGACAAATATTGTATGATTCCATGTATACGAAGTTCTTAGAGTAGTCAAATTCGTAGACATAAAATTGGTGGTTGTTAGAGGCGGGTGGGAAAGGAGGAGGGGGAGTTAGTGTTTAAAGTACAGTTTCAGTTGGGAAAGATGAAAAAATTCAGAAGATGGATGGTGGTGATAGTCACACATTAATGTGAATGCACTTAATGCCACAAAAGTGTACACTTAAAAATTGTTTAAATGATACATTTTATGATATGCATTTACACACACACACAAATGGTTGAAAATATGCACCAGGATTGTCTATTTGAAATCACTGATATGTATACATCCACAGGGAAAAAAACATTTAACAATCCAATATGAAAGAATCCCTAAAAACAGCAATTTTCTCTTCTATCTGGGAAGTCGTCTGGTTTGGTTTACTGATGAAATTCTTGAGCTTACTTTAATAAACCAAGGCAACATTAAAAGTATGCCTGAATCTTGCTTATAAGACACTAATGCATAAACAATTCCTATTAACAGCAAGAGAATATATACAGAAGACCTGGCTATATCTCCTTGTAAGTTGAAATAAAATTCAACATTAGTTAATTTATAGATTTAACTTTTGCCTAAAAAATTAATAACGTGACCAAACATAAAAAGGGATAAAAATCAAGTCGTTCTGAATTTCCTATGATGTCGAATTTCAAATTAAATGTAACTATTTTATCAAGGCAAGATGAGAAAATAAATGTTGACATTGATTTTTATACAAATTATAGCACAGTATTTCAATATCAATATGATCAATCTAATGTCCTCCACACAAGTAAATTTTGAACGGTAAGTTAAAAATTCAGAAGATCCTCTAGTTTTAACATCTTAATTAAAATTATTCTATAAGCTGATAAACCATTCCTGAAACCTTATTCTTTTCCTACACTATGAATAAATATGGCTGGCCCCATACTTATATAATCAGATCTGATCATGTTAAGATCATAATTCATCAGGCATAAGTATATATGAGAAAAATAAATAAAACAGTCTTTGGTTGAATATTATGACACTTAGATTATACAGTATAAAATTACAGTAAACAAAAATGGCATATTTCTATTTTATTTAAAAAGTAATTGGCCAGGCGCGGTGGCTCACGCCTGTAATCCCAGCACTTTGGGAGGTCGAGGCTGGTGGATCACTTGAGATCAGTAGGGACCAGACTGGCCAACATGGTGAAACCCCGTCTCTACTAAAAATACAAAAATTAGCCAGGCGAAGTGATGTGTGCACCTGTAATTGGAGGCTAAGGAAGGAGAATCGCTTGAACCCAGAAGGTGGAAGTTGCAGTGAGCTGAGATCAACCACTGCACTCCAGCCTGGGCAATAGAGCAAGACTTCATCTCAAAAAAAAAAGAAAAGAGAAAAAAAAGAAATCAGCCGGACACAGTGATTCGCGCCTGTAATCCCAGCACTTTGGGAAGCCAAGGCAGGTGGATCACTTGAGGTCAGGAGATCGAGACCAGCCTGGCCAACATGGTGAAACTCCATCTTTACTAAAAATACAAAATTAGCTGGGCATGGTGGTAAGCGCCTGTAATCCCAGCGACTCGGGAGGGCTTAGGCAGGAGAATCACTTCAACCTGGGAGGCGGGGGTTGCAGTGAGCCGAGTGAGATCCAGCCTGAGAAACAGAGCAAGACTCTTCCTCAAAAAAAAAAAAAAAAAAAAGAAATCATCAAGTCTGATTCTTAAGGGATAATGAAACAGTAAAACATTTAAGATGGCCTTATAGAGCAACAAAATATTAATGTCAATACTATAAAAATATTTAAAAATCACTTTTTGTATTAATTCTTGGTTCAACAATTGGAACACGTTTGATTTTTCAGTAAGGTTGCGCTAAATTATACTACAGACCTGTAGAAAGATACTTCAGTATCTAAATATAAACTAATACAGAATACAGAATACAGAATCCAAAAATTAAAAAAGAAAAAAAATTTATACTTTTGGTTTTGAATGACAAGTACTATACCTATACTAATGACTGGGAGTTCGAGGTAAAATTTAAGATTTTAAAAAGCTTAAAACTTTCTCAGTTTGAACTCAAAATATAGAGCTCTAATTACACTCAATGTTGAAAGGTGAATTCTTCAATCCAAGGGTGAAGCTAGCTCCGTGTTGTTTCCCCTCAGCTTCCTTGGCTTCTACTCTTCACCCACATCTTTCACCTCCATTCAAGTGTGGATTTGCCACACTTCATAACTAAATAATAAATAGCACACCTCTTTTTCAGCATTGCTAAGAATGACTGTACTATTTAAAGTGGAGAAGGCTTGCATATTACTAATTCTAGTGTTTTACTCTATAGGAGCAGCCACCTAAGAGACAACTTAGTACTAAAAAACTTGAATAACTGATTTCTGCATCTTAAAGACTCATACTGACCAAATCATGGGGAAAATATAGTAATTCACTAGATGGTGTTGAAGTATAAACCATTTAGAAAAATATACTTGACAACATAAATCAAAATAAGGTCCGGATGGTTTAAAAATTGGAATGTAAAAACAGAAATTATAAAAACTTACATTAAAAAATTTATATAAACATATATATAAAATCTTAGGAGTAGGGAAGGATTTACAAAAACCACAAAGGAAAGCAATGATAATCAATTTGGCAATACCGTAATTTAAAACTTTCAAGTTATAAATTTAAATTACATGGAAATCTCTATATTTAACTTTGATACACCAAGAAAACTATTTGCAGAGTTAATACCCCTAATATATAAACAACACTTAAAACTGAATTTTTAAAAATGATTGTGGAATACCAAATAATAAAGATAGGTAATTCATACCACACACAAAAAACTATATAAAATAAATTATATGAAAGTAAAAATGGGCCGGGTGCGGTGGCTCACGCCTACATGTAATCCCAGCATTTTGGGAGGCCGAGGCGGGCAGATCACAAGGTCAGGAGATCGAGACCACCCTGGCTAACAAGGTGAAACCCCGCCTCTACTAAAAATACAAAAATTAGCCATGCATGGTGGCGGGTGCCTATAGTCCCAGCTACTTGGGAGGCTGAGGCAGGAGAATGGCGTGAACCCAGGAGGCGCAGCTTACAGTGAGCCGAGATGGCGCCAGTGCACTCCAGCCTGGACGACAGAGCGAGACTCCGTCTCAAAAAAAAAAAAAGTAAAAATGACTATACCCTGTGCTGATAAAAGGAGTACATTCTCTCATTCTCTACTGACATCAATACCCTTCTAGAAGATAAATGAATATATATCAAGATTATAAAAATTTATATATTCTCATACACAAAAATATCCTAAGAATTTATCCTCTATAATCAGACTGTCCCACAAGGATAGAAGCACAAAATATTCCTTATTCATAAATAGGAAAATTTAGCAATAAAGAATCAATTAAAGGAAGTCCCTAAAAATAAAACTAGATAGCCATTAAAAATTACATAGATCTATAAATTTAGTAACATATTGCTAAATTCAAAAAGTTATAAAATAACAATAGTTTTAAAAGTAAAAATTGTATATGTGTTAAAAATTCTAGAAGAATAACAAAAATGTTATCAGTGATTATTTTTAGGAATACAGATTGGAAGTGGTTTTTTTTCTCCTATCTGAATTGTCAAATTATCAACTTTCTTACATAAAAAATATAATTATTTTTTCATCCTTTTTATTAAGTTATTCAAGCCTCTGAGTATTTCTTGGCATTCAGAGGCAAAAAACAAAAACAAAAAAAAGTTTTTCTTTTATATTTTTAGTCTATAACCTGTTAATAGTTATGTCTTATTTATTTATTATTTTTTATTATTATTATTATTTTTTGAGACAGGGTCTCACACTGTCACCCCAGCTAGAGTGCAGTGGTGCAATCTCGGCTCACTGCAATCTCCACCTCCCAGGCTCAAGTGATCCTCCCACCTCAGAACCCTGAGTAGCTGGGACCACAGGCATGCGCCACCATGCCCAGATAATTTTTGTATTTTTGTAGAGACGGTTTCGCCATGTTGCCCAGGCTGGTCCCAAACTCCTGAGCTCAAGTGATCTGCCCACCTCAGCCTCTCAAAGTGCTAGGATTACAGGCACTACTATAAATGTCTTATCTTTAATACCAAAACAAATCTTTAATACCTAAAACAGTGGGAAGGGTGGTAAGTTATTGACAATTCAGAGTAATAATTCCTCGTTTTAGTTATCTCTAAGCCACAAAAACAATATATTAAATTATTTCCATATTATCATAAAAATACTGCTTACTTGGCAGTAACAAACTGCAAGAGAAGTACCTTGCCCAGCCTATTTATTCTTTAAAATTAGATTTATAGTGTGAGTCCAACTATTTTTCTAACTATACAGTAAAAAGACTAAAAAAAATAAGCAAAATGTTAATTGTATGTATCTCTGAATAGTGGGATCACTTAACATTAAGGATTTTAATTTTCTTCTATTTTCTCCATTTTCCAAATTTTCTACAATGATTAAACACTACTTTTAAAATAAAAAACACAGTTTTTAAAAATTATAGGCCAGGCACGGTGGCTCACACCTGTAATCCTAGCACTTTGGGAGGCCGAGGCGGGTGGATCACCTGAGGTCAGGAGTTCAAGACCAGCTTGGCCACGATGGTGAAACCTCATCTCTACTAAAAAAAAAAAAATACAAAAATTAGCTGGACGTGGTGGCAGGCACCTGTACTCCCAACTACTTGGGAGGCTGAGGCAGGAGAATCACTTGAACCCAGGGGGCGGAGGTTGCAGATCGAGCCACTGCACTCCAGCCTGGGGGACAGAGTGAGACTCTCTCTCAAAAAAAAAAAAAAAAAAAAAAAAAGAAAATTTGGGGGAGGAGCCAAGATGGCCAAATAGGAACAGCTCCGGTCTACAGCTCCCAGCGTGAGCCACGCAAAAGATGGTGATTTCTGCATTTCCATCTGAGGTACCGGGTTCATCTCATTAGGGAGTGGCAGACAGTGGGCGCAGGTCAGTGGGTGTGCGCACCGTGCGCGAGCCGAAGCAGGGCGAGGCATTGCCTCACTTGGGAAGCGCAAGGGGTCAGGGAGTTCCCTTTCTGAGTCAAAGAAAGGGGTGACAGACGGCACCTAGAAAATCGGGTCACTCCCACCCGAATACTGCGCTTTTCCGATGGGCTTAAAAAACGGCGCACCACGAGATTATATCCTGCACCTGGCTCGGAGGGTCCTACCCCACGGAGTCTCGCTGATTGCTAGCACAGCAGTCTGAGACCAAACTGCAAGGCAGCAGCGAGGCTGGGGGAGGGGCGCCCGCCATTTTCCAGGCTTGATTAGGTAAACAAAGCAGCGGGGAAGCCCGAACTGGGTGGAGCCCACCACAGCTCAAGGAGGCCTGCCTGCCTCTGTAGGCTCCACCTCTGGGGGCAGGGCACAGACAAACAAAAAGACAGCAGTAACCTCTGCAGACTTAAATGTCCCTGTCTCACAGCTTTGAGGAGAGCAGTGGTTCTCCCATCACGCAGCTGGAGATCTGAGAACGGGCAGACTGCCTCAAGTGGGTCCCTGACCCCCGAGCAGCCTAACTGGGAGGCACCCCCCAGCAGGGGCACACTGACACCTCACACGGCAGGGTATTCCAACAGACCTGCAGCTGAGGGTCCTGTCTGTTAGAAGGAAAACTAACAAACAGAAAGGACATCCACACCAAAAACCCATCTGTACATCACCATCATCAAAGACCATAAGTAGATAAAACCACAAAGATGGGGAAAAAACAGAACAGAAAAACCGGAAACTCTAAAAAGCAGAGTGCCTCTCCTCCTCCAAAGGAACGCAGTTCCTCACCAGCAACGGAACAAAGCTGGATGGAGAATGACTTTGATGAGCTGAGAGAAGAAGGCTTCAGACGATCAAATTACTCTGAGCTACGGGAGGACATTCAAACCAAAGGCAAAGAAGTTGAAAACTTTGAAAAAAATTTAGAAGAATGTATAACTAGAATAACCAATACAGAGAAGTGCTTAAAGGAGCTGATGGAGCTGAAAACCAAGGCTCGAGAACTACGTGAAGAATGCAGAAGCCTCAGGAGCTGATGTGATCAACAGGAAGAAAGGGTATCAGCGATGGAAGATGAAATGAATGAAATGAAGCGAGAAGGGAAGTTTAGAGAAAAAAGAATAAAAAGAAATGAGCAAAGCCTCCAAGAAATATGGGACTATGTGAAAAGACCAAATCTATGTCTGATTGGTGGACCTGAAAGTGATGGGGAGAATGGAACCAAGTTGGAAAACACTCTGCAGGATATTATCCAGGAGAACTTCCCCAGTCTAGCAAGGCAGGCCAACGTTCAGATTCAGGAAATACAGAGAATGCCACAAAGATACTCCTCGAGAAGAGCAACTCCAAGACACATAACTGTCAGATTCACCAAAGCTGAAATGAAGGAAAAAATGTTAAGGGCAGCCAGAGAGAAAGGTCGGGTTACCCTCAAAGGGAAGCCCATCAGACTAACAGCGGATCTCTCGGCAGAAACCCTACAAGCCAGAAAAGAGTGGGGGCCAATATTCAACATTCTTAAAGAAAAGAATTTTCAACCCAGAATTTCATATCCAGCCAAACTAAGCTTCATAAGCGAAGGAGAAATAAAATACTTTACAGACAAGCAAATGCTGAGAGATTTTGTCACCACCAGGCCTGCCCTAAAAGAGCCTGAAGGAAGCGCTAAACATGGAAAGGAACAACTGGTACCAGCCACTGCAAAATCATGCCAAAATGTAAAGACCATCAAGACTAGGAAGAAACTATATCAACTAACGAACAAAATAACCAGCTAACATCATACTGACAGGATCAAATTCACACATAACAATATTAACCATAAATGTAAATGGACTAAATGCTCCAATTAAAAGACACAGACTGGCAAATTGGATAAAGAGGCAAGACCCATCAGTGTGCTGTATTCAGGAAACCCATCTCACGTGCAGAGACACACATAGGCTCAAAATAAAAGGATGGAGGATGATCTACCAAGCAAATGGAAAACAAAAAAAGGCAGGGGTTGCAATCCTAGTCTCTGATAAAACAGACTTTAAACCAACAAAGATCAAAAGAGACAAAGAAGGCCATTACATAATGATAAAGGGATCAATTCAACAAGAAGAGCTAACTATCCTAAATATATATGCACCCAATACAGGAACACCAAGATTCATAAAGCAAGTCCTGAGTGACCTACAAAGAGACTTAGACTCCCACACATTAATAATGGGAGACTTTAACACCCCACTGTCAACATTAGACAGATCAACGAGACAGAAAGTCAACAAGGATACCCAGGAATTGAACTCAGCTCTGCACCAAGCGGACCTAATAGACATCTACAGAACTCTCCACCCCAAATCAACAGAATATACATTTTTTTCAGCACCACACTACACCTATTCCAAAATTGACCACATACTTGGAAGTAAAGCTCTCCTCAGCAAATGTAAAAGAACAGAAATTATAACAAACTATCTCTCAGACCACAGTGCAATCAAACTAGAACTCAGGATTAAGAAACTCACTCAAAACCACTCAACTACATGGAAACTGAACAAGCTGCTCCTGAATGACTACTGGGTACATAATGAAATGAAGGCAGAAATAAAGATGTTCTTTGAAACCAATGAGAACAACGACACAACATACCAGAATCTCTGGGATGCATTCAAAGCAGTGTGTAGAGGGAAATTTATAGCACTAAATGCCCACAAGAGAAAGCAGGAAAGATCCAAAATTGACACCCTAACATCACAATTAAAAGAACTAGAAAAGCAAGAGCAAACACATTCAAAAGCTAGCAGAAGGCAAGAAATAACTAAAATCAGAGCAGAACTGAAGGAAATAGAGACACAAAAAACCCTTCAAAAAATTAATGAATCCAGGAGGTGGTTTTTTGAAAGGATCAACAAAATTGATAGACCGCTAGCAAGACTAAAAAAGAGAGAAGAATCAAATAGATGCACTAAAAAATGATAAAGGGGATATCACCATTAATGCTACAGAAATACAAACTACCATCAGAGAATACTACAAACACCTCTATGCAAATAAACTAGAAAATCTAGAAGAAATGGATAAATTCCTCGACACATACACTCTCCCAAGACTAAACTAGGAAGAAGTTGAATCTCTGAATAGACCAATAACAGGATCTGAAATTGTGGCAATAATCAATAGCTTACCAACCAAAAAGAGTCCAGGACCAGATGGATTCACAGCCAAATTCTACCAGAGGTACAAGGAGGAACTGGTACCATTCCTTCTGAAACTATTCCAATCAATAGAAAAAGAGGGAATCCTCCCTAACTCATTTTATGAGGCCAGCATCATTCTGATACCAAAGCCAGGCAGAGACACAACAAAAAAAGAGAATTTTAGACCAATATCCTTGATGAACATTGATGCAAAAATCCTCAATAAAATACTGGCAAAACGAATCCAGCAGCACATCAAAAAGCTTATCCACCATGATCAAGTGGGCTTCATCCCTGGGATGCAAGGCTGGTTCAATATACGCAAATCAATAAATGTAATCCAGCACATAAACAGAACCAAAGACAAAAACCACATGATTATCTCAATAGATGCAGAAAAGGCCTTTGACAAAATTCAACAACCTTCATGCTAAAAACTCCCAATAAATTAGGTATTGATGGGATGTATCTCAAAATAATAAGAGTTATCTATGACAAACCCACAGCCAATATCATACTGAATGGGCAAAAACTGGAAGCATTCCCTTTGAAAACTGGCACAAGACAGGGACGCCCTCTCTCACCACTCCTATTCAACATAGTGTTGGAAGTTCTGGCCAGGGCAATTAGGCAGGAGAAGGATATAAAGGGTATTCAATTAGGAAAAGAGGAAGTCAAATTGTCCCTGTTTGCAGATGACATGATTGTATATTTAGAAAACCCCATTGTATCAGCCCCAAATCTCCTTAAGCTGATAAGCAACTTCAGCAAAGTCTCAGGATACAAAATCAATGTGCAAAAATCACAAGCATTCTTATACACCAACAACAGACAAACAGAGAGCCAAATCATGAGTGAACTCCCATTCACAATTGCTTCAAAGAGAATAAAATACCTAGGAATCCAACTTACAAGGGATGTGAAGGACCTCTTCAAGGAGAACTACAAACCACTGCTCAAGGAAATAAAAGAGGATACAAACAAATGGAAGAACATTCCATGCTCATGGGTAGGAAGAATCATTATCGTGAAAATGGCCATACTGCCCAAGGTAATTTACAGATTCAATGCCATCCCCATCAAGCTACCAATGACTTTCTTCACAGAACTGGAAAAAACTACTTTAAAGTTCATATGGAACCAAAAAAGAGCCCACATCACCAAGTCAATCTTAAGCCAAAAGAACAAAGCTGGAGGCATCACACTACCTGACTTCAAACTATACGACAAGGCTACAGTAACCAAAACAGCATGGTACTGGGACCAAAACAGAAATATAGATCAATGGAACAGAACAGAGCCCTCAGAAATAACGCCACGTATCTACAACTATCTGATCTTTGACAAACCTGAGAAAAACAAGCAATGGGGAAAGGATTCCCTATTTAATAAATGGTGCTGGGAAAACTGGCTAGCCATATGTAGAAAGCTGAAACTGGATCTCTTCCTTACACCTTATACAAAAATCAATTCAAGATGGATTAAAGACTTAAACGTTAGACCTAAAACCATAAAAACACTAGAAGAAAACCTAGGCATTACCATTCAGGACATAGGCATGGGCAAGGACTTCATGTCTAAAACACCAAAAGCAATGGCAACAAAAGACAAAATTGACAAATGGGATCTAATTAAACTAAAGAGCTTCTGCACAGCAAAAGAAACTACCATCAGAGTGAACAGGCAACCTACAAAATGGGAGAAAATTTTCACAACCTACTCATCTGACAAAGGGCTAATATCCAGAATCTAGAATGAACTCAAACAAATTTACAAGAAAAAAACAAACAACCCCATCAAAAAGTGGGCAAAGGACAGGAACAGACACTTCTCAAAAGAAGACATTTATGCAGCCAAAAAACACATGAAACAATGCTCATCATCACTGGCCATCAGAGAAATGCAAATCAAAACCACAATGAGATACCGTCTCACACCAGTTAGAATGGCGATCATTAAAAAGTCAGGAAACAACAGGTGCTGGAGAGGATGTGGAGAAACAGGAACACTTTTACACTGTTGGTGGGACTGTAAACTAGTTCAACCATTGTGGAAGTCAGTGTGGCGATTCCTCAGGGATCTAGAACTGGAAATACCATTTGACCCAGCCATCCCATTACTGGGTATATACCCAAAGGACTATAAATTATGCTGCTATAAAGACACATGCACACATATGTTTATTGCGGCATTATTCACAATAGCAAAGACTTGGAACCAACCCAAATGTCCAACAATGATAGACTGGATTAAGAAAATGTGGCACATAAACACCATGGAATACTATGCAGCCATAAAAAATGATGAGTTCATGTTCTTCGTAGGGACATGGATGAAATTGGAAATCATCGTTCTCAGTAAACTATCGCAAGAACAAAAAACCAAACACCGCGTATTCTCATTCATAGGTGGGAATTGAACAATGAGATCACATGGACACAGGAAGGGGAATATCACACTCTGGGGACTGTTGTGGGGTGGGGGGAGGGGGGAGGGATAGCATTGGGAGATATACCTAATGCTAGATGACGAGTTAGTGGGTGCAGCGCACCAGCATGGCACATGTATACATATGTAACTAACCTGCACAATGTGCACATGTACCCTAAAACTTAAAGTATAATAATAAAAAAAAATTATATATATGTATTTTATGTAGATATATATTCACTATTATGCTTTTTAAATATGCAGAAAAAACATAGAAGAAAATATATTAAATTGTTTATAGTGGTTATGGCTGATGGGCTATGGTTTTTCTTATTCTAATTTTCTATTTTCTAACTTTCCTAGGAGAAATATGTACATTTATAATGAAAAAAACCAAACTACATTTTCATAAATAGAAGATAAAATTCTGTTATCCAAAATGAAAATCAGACTTTTTTTACATCTTTCAGAAATACAAGCTAAAAGATGGTTAAATCATCTAGTTTTCTAATATCTATTATATTTAACTGGTTCCAAAAGTGAACTTTTCAGAGAAGTGTAGTACCACAAATTATTTTTTAGGCCATGAATCTTGACACTTTAAAGTTTACTTTGAATTACAGAAAAACTGTTGTGTATGGGTAATACAGAGTTAACCAGGATAAACTGAATTGCCTTACTATTAAACCAAACCAGCAATATACAAATATTAAAATATTAAAATAATATACAAATATTAAAAATTTGGCTACTATCATTGACCTACCTGCAGAGCAAAAAGATTTCCAAATTATAAAGTACAATATACTGATAATCCTAACTGGAGATGCTTTTTAATATATTAAGTAAACATGATTGCTCACTACTATAAATGTCTTATCTTTAATACCAAAATAAATCTTTCTTTAATACCTAAAACAGTGGAAAGGGTGGTAAGTTACTGACAATTCAGAGTAATAATTCCTTATTTTAGTTATCTCTAAGCCATTAAAAGCAGAATACATTAAATTATTTCCATATTATCATAAAAATACTGCTTACCTGCCCGTAACAAACTGTAAGAGAAGAACTCTCTCCTCTTGAGTAATGTCTTCTACAACTTCCCAGAACCACTAACAACAAGAACAAAAAACTTAGCTCATATTTCAGAGCAATTGTAGACTTCTCAATACCAGAGAAATATGCAATATTCATAAAGCACATTTTATTCTACAAAACTCGTTTACCAAAAATGATTTCATGCAAAGCTTTCATATGCACTATTCCCACAAGAATAATTTGGGTAAACACTTTACTTTGTTAATTAATGTAAGTTTTCATCCAATAGTGCTGAAAAGCTTACAAAATTAAACGGCAAAACTTAACTTCATTCTAAGCTCTAGAGAAATTTTACCTGAATAACTGGATCTTCTCTTTCATAGCCACTTGTGTATTCTGTATTTTTTATCCAATCACTCACATCAATTTCTGGCATGCCAGAAAGCAGTAGCTCCTTGGGGGAAGAAGAAAAATATTTCAATAATTTTCTTTAGGGAAAAAAGTTATTATATTTAAGTGGTAAATTTGCCATAATTAGAAACTAATCCCATGTAAAACTGATATATTTTTGTGACAGTTCCTGCATGTCATCAACAACAAGCATTACATGAGAGAGAATCCTTGACGCTGATAATCTCAAATATTATAAGATGTGGAGATGTTTCCACATTGATACAATTTCATTAAAACATAAGAGATTATAGTTTATATGTTTATGTGTGAACATATGCAACAACAGTTTATATGTGCAAAAGTTTTATGAACATTATCTTTGGTTTACTTTATATTTTTACAATTCTTTGCAATTTTGTTAACTTCTGTAAGGAGACAGTATTCTCAACATGAAAGTGACAACAAAGACCCGAATAAATACTTGACTAAACAAGGGGAAAGTCATCAAGAAATCATTATCATGAGGAAAAAGGAGGTAATATAAAAATAGTTACGATTTTTAAAAAAGATTTAGGCCTTTTAGGAATTCAATTCTGGAATAATTTGGATCCTGTAAAGTCAATTTTCTCCAAAGTCAAAAAAAATGCAATTTTCCTAATGACTTGATAGGTTTATTTTATCCAGGAAGATCATCAAAGACACAAAATCTCAATCGTATAAGTAAAAATGAAATTAAGAATGGCAAAGTATTTACCTTTTTGTTTTCCAAGGGAAAAGAGGACATGAAAAGAGCTTGTCCACTTCTCTGAATCAGTCCATATATCACAGTTAGAGATGCTTACATAGTCAGGGGAGGCAATGATTGGCCTACACTTTACACTGATGATTCAGAATATCAGGATTTCCTTTTTTTTTGAGACCGAGTCTGGCTCTGTCACCCAGGCTGGAGTGCAGTGGCGCGGCTCACTGCAAGCTCCACCTCCCGGGTTCACGCCATTCTCCCACCTCAGCCTCCCAAGTAGCTAGGACTACAGGCGCCTGCCACCATGCCCGGCTAATTTTTTTGTAGTTTTAGTAGAGATGAGGTTTCACCGTGTTAGCCAGGATGGTCTCAATCTCCTGACCTTGTGATCCACCCACCTCAGCCTCCAAAAGTGCTGGGATTACAGGCGTGAACCACCGTGCCCGGCCAGGATTTCTTATTACAGGGATGTAGATGCCCTGTGATTCAAAATCATGTCTCCTATAGTAAACTACTCATAACATATACCTGACCTTGTACCTTAAATAAGATTGATATAAGGCAACATCTGAGAACTCTTGAGGGTTTCCGAGATCTACTCAGTGGGTCCATGAGGTTCTCCCTTTTCCAACTTATCTGTATGAGGTTGAGTTTTCTTCATATATTTCAACCAAACAACATACCAAAACAGATTATACACAAAAGCAGTTGTAAGGGCCCATTTGTCTTCTACTAAGCTAGACATTAAAGAAATTTGCAAAACTGTTAAACAGTACCAGTCTTCCCACTGTTTCTGTTTTGTTCTGGAAAATGCAATTTTAGTTTTTCAAATGTTCTCTATGTTAATATAATAATGGATTATTTTATGTGAATAAAATATTTTACATTTCTGTTTTAATTTCAAGTAAATATCCATTGACATAACCCACATAAACAAAAACTCTTTTGTTTTAAGGGGTCCTAAGACCAAAAAGTTTTAGAACTGCTAGTATAGGGTGTGTTTTAGTCCTAGTCACAGTGTTATAGAATCCTTTTCCTAGATGAAGACAGTCTAGTCTACATTGACCACCCCCAAATACATTCTCTAGCTTCCTTTGCACTGCAGACTGGCTGCTTTGCCTGCTGGCTGTCTTGCCAGCTGGCTTTGGTTTGGGTTTGGAGCCTGGGAAACATAGGCAGTTAGTCTGGAGGTGAGGGTACTCTCTGCTCCCCCACTGCTTCAGCATCTCTTTGCAGTAGCTATGGCTCCTCAAGTATGGCTACCATCAGGTGGCCCCTCCTTGGTGGTTCAGGCTCCCACGGGGCTCTTCACAGTAATTCCTCTACCTGTCTCTTCAGTCCTAGGGATGATAAAGGCTTTCCCTGTTGCCAGTCTGTGGATGTCTCACTAGACATTGTTTATTCTTAACACTGCCCATACCTCTGTCATAGTCCCTTTGTTAAAGTTTCGATATTTGAACCATCTGGAGAAATTCTGTTCCCTGACAGGACTCTGATATAGGTTTGCTAAAAGGGAGTGGGACAGGCTTTACGCATGTCTTACAATTCATGAGTTTAATCCTTTTCCCTTCTAGGCTGAAGATAAGCTTTCAATAATATTAAGTATGCTTTCATTATTCATAATTATGAATAAAAATGACTAACATTATATTCTCTCAAGAAATTTGAAGCACTTCATGAATATCACATTAATTGTTACGATTTTTTTTCAAGAAGAAGAAAAAGAAAGGATCTTTATTATCCCATCTGGTTACTAAACTGACCAAAAACAAACAGATGAAATGAGAATTCCAGAATAAAATGTACATATTAAGAAAAATATTTTAAGCCCCAATCAATTTTTTTAATACAACAAAATAATTGAATTCATCTGTTGGAACTATGTGTAAGGTATATAACTCATACTAATAGTTAGAAACTGAATCATGAAAGTATTCATAGGCATCAGCTTACCTAGCATCACACGATTCAGTGTTTTTATATTCTGGTTCTATCATGGATAAATTCACAAGCAGCACAGTATGGAAGAACAGTCCACAGTCATCTCTTGATGCCTTCTGTCTACAATGGATGACTACACCTCCAGTTCAGTACACTGGAGCTACTCGATACCTTCTCCTCACTAAAACTCTAGAATTTAACCTGAATCCTTTAACTCAGATGCACATCTAGTTTAGACGTTTGTACCAAATTTTTTAAAAGTTTCCTTTCTCAGTGCAGCATAGCCCTCCCCTATGAAAGACACAAAGTCACACAAAAAGTTCTAAAGCCAAGTCCCTCTGATTACTCATGCCACCAAGCAGCAGACTGGCAACAGTGATGGTATCTGGGGTCAGGGAACATGAGTTCATAGCCTATCACTAACACATGCTCTATGACCATGAACAAGTTCCATATCTTCTTTGGCCTAGTTTTCTCATCTGTAAAATGGGGACAATAGTACTCACCTCAAGAGATTTTTTGTGAGCGTTTTTAAAGTTAATACATATAAAATACCTGGCAAATACTAAATGCTTAATAATTATTATTATCACTGTATAAATCAAGACCATGCCTACAATGTTGCTCTTCCCAAATGTGAATCAGCTCAACTTAGTAAAGTCAGAGTCCAAGACAAACTAGGAACCTGATCTAAATTTTAATGTAAGAGCCACAATTAAAAACTTACCAGTAACAGACCTAAATGTGAAAGATAAAGGAATAAAGCTTTTAAAAGAAAACACAGAAAAATATCTTCACAGCCTTGGAGTAAGAAACAGTTTCTAAAACAGGACACAAAAAGCTTCTTCCATCAAAAAAAACAAAACAAAACAAAAAAAACTGATAAACTGAACTATGTTAAACCCCAAAATTTTTATTCACTGAAAAGACCTGAGTAGAAAATATTCATAATACATATATCTGATAAAAGACTCTTATAAAAGAATTCATAAAGAGTCCTACAAATCAGTAAAAAGAAAAAAAAACACAATAGAAAAGTGGGCAAATTACTTAAATAGACACTTTGAAAACAGTACACAAATGGCTATAATCATAAAAGGTGTGTAACTTCATTAGCTATCAGGTAAATACAAATTAAAATCTCAAGGAAAGACCACTACTGAATTACCAGAATGGAAATGAAAAAGATGGAAAATTATCAAATGCTAGTGAGAATGCAGAACACCCAGAACTCTCACACCTCCTAATGGGAGTGTAAACTGATGCATCACTTGAGAAACTATCTGCTCCTATCTACTGAAATGGGGTACATGCACAGCCTATGTCCCAGCAATTCCACTCCAAGGCATATAACCTACAGAATGCAAACTTATGTTTTCCTAAAGGCATGTTTATAGCAGCAGTACTTGAAAGAGCCTGAAACTGAAAAGTACCCACTAAATGTTCATCAAGAGTAGAAAAGACTAAAGGAAACTGAAATGCTATACAGCAATTAAAATGAACAAATTACCAACTGCATGCAACAATATGTATGATTCCCACAAACAAAAACTTGAGCTAAGAAAGCCAGATACATTCTATTTACATAATTCTAAAATAGGCGAATCTCGTCTATGATTTTAGAAGTCAGGAGAATGGTTACCCTTAAGGTGGGAGAATGACTGGAGGGAGATGACAGAGTGACATATGGGGTGCTAGAATTTCTGTTTCTTCATCTGGGTGTTAGTTTCATGGGTATGTTCAGTTTGTTAAAACTTATCAAGCTATACATTTATGATGTGTGTCCTTTTCTGCATGTATATCATAACCCAAAGTTTTATAAACTTATTGATATCAGTAAATTACAAGGCAAAGTTTTCATCAATTATTTTTGTTGTTGCTATTTGTTTTTTACATACATATAGGTCCAGCAAATAACTAATGCTCTGTTTTGAATTTCAAAAGGCTAATTTAATCCAAGCACAGTACAGGAAAAGCCATATTGCAGTCAGGTCTAATAATATAATAGCTCAAATAGTCCTCCATTTTTAAATGCTGAAAATCACTTCTATTGTTACATAAAAACTAGACAAATCTATGCTAACTGAAGCCATTAACTGTACAGCTTAAAAACAATCAAAAAAACCTCAAAACTTACATTTAATGAAACTAAATCACAATGGACTTCAAAATTAATTAGCAAATTTTATTCACTATTATACTAAGATATACTATGAATGATAAATTAAAAATACTGATACATATGTAAAATTAAAGGTATATATCCGTATCTGTATCCATATACTAAAATGAAAGGCATGGGGTAAAACTAATTTTCTGAGACAGAATAAAAACTAAATAAAACATTTCCACTGATCTGGAACTTACTATTCCAAATTATATACTTTTAGGTAAGAAAGCAGCTATATGCTATTTAAAATACTGTGCTTTATTAAGATTTAGACAACTCAAAGAGTTTAAAAATAATTCTCCAAATTACCAAAACTAAAGAGAAAAAGAAAATAGAGAAAAATGCAGACATAAATCATATAAAATTAGAAATCCTGTTGGATCACAGTACAATAAAGGCAAATTAAAGTAGCAAAACCAAACATTCATTAGGGACTAGAGGATGGCAAAGACGATGGACTCCATAGGTTTGAAATAAAGAATTATAAAATTATATATATGGCAATATAAGAAACTGGAGAAGACAATACTATACAATAAGAAAAACCTTCTTAATTCTTTTTAGAAGTTTAAGAAGTTAGTATCAGCGCCCTTTACATCATGTGGTCAAATAAAAAATTCAGAAATAATGTAGAATACTGTGTATATAGGAAGACTGGCCTTCAACATCTCCCATATAGAAGAAACAGGAATATATTCCATTTTAGTTTGTCACCACCTCACCTCACTTCACATTAAGGAGCTGCTTATCTGGTTATTAAGCTTAAGAGATGCTCATCCATAAATTTTATATCAAATCTCTAAAAATGGACATTAAACCATTTTGTCTCATTTATACATTATTTCATTCATCATAATACTCCACAATTATTTCTGAATTACATCAACTAGAGTTTTTTGTTGTTGTGTTACAACATAAGAACTGATGTTTTTCCTTACCAATTCATATTCATCAAAAAGCTGTATGAGGGAGGGTGGAATGAACATATGAAAGCCCTGTAAAAAAGCATTGATCTGAGGCTGAATGGCTCTTGTCATTCGAAGTTCAGTAACAAGCTGGACGTACTCCGCCTGTTGAAAAAGAAGTTTTCATGATGACTTTTCAAAAACCTTTTACATACTTAATGTTAATATAATTATTTCTTATTTAAGAGGTAAAGGTTTAAAATAAAATTGACACCAACACTCATACATCTCAGCAAATCAGCAAGCCACTATTCACTAAGCTGTTGAGGAAAAAATTCCAGGGACTCAATCATCCATGACTTCTCTCACACCCTATTTCAGCTGATACTATCAGATCTACCTTTAAAAAAATATTCTCAATCTTACCTTGTCTCACTACCTCCATTTCAGCACCCCAGTCCAAGCTATCATCACTTCTCATCTGGATTACTGCAACATCTGGTGTCCCTGTTTCCATTTTTGCCCCTGTACTGATGCTTCTCCACATCTTAGCCAGAGTGATTTAAAAATATATATATGTGTATATACACATAGATATACATGTGTGTGTATGTACATGTAAATAACTCAGATCCGGCAGCTCTCTTGCTCAAAACCCTATAATGACTTCTCATGACATCTGGAGTAACATCCAAATTCCTTTCCTGGTCTCTAAGGCCCTAAATGATCTGGCCTCTGCCTTGCTCTCTGATCTCACTTCTTTCCATTCTCCCCCTAGTTCATTCATTCACTCAATTCTAGTTTCACTGGCTTTCTGGCTATTCCCAAAACACAAGCTTGTCCGGGCCCCAATGTGTTTATACTTCTAGATCATTCTCACTGAAATGTCTCATTAGAATGTAATCTCTCTGCAGACAGGAACTTTGTTTTACCAGGATATATACCAACTTCTAAAAAGTGGCTGCCACTTTGAAAGTATTCAAAAAATATGTGAAGAATGAATGCATACCATCATCAAATTCACTTAACACATACTTAGAACTTGGTAAAATCATTCTTTGTAGCATAGTCAATTCAATTCTGAGTTAAGGTAATCTACATATTCACCCATTTTATTTTAAAATACGTGATAATCATAGAAAATATTGTTACTTAAAATTTAACTGGTAATAAGCAGAGGGCATGGTGGCACATGCCTGTACTCCTAGTTACTAGGGGAGGCTGAGGTGGAAGCATTGCTTGAGCCCAGGAGTTCGAGTCTGCAGTGAACTATGACCGTGCCACCACACTCCAACCCGGGCAACAGGGCAAGATCCTGTCTCTTAAAGAAAAAAATAATAATAATAACTGGTAATTTAAAAATGTATTTTGGCTTAGAACAAAATGAATTATATACAGAGAGAGAAAGAGTATGTGCCTGTATACACATATAAACTATTAGGTTATCATTTATATATTTTTTAATTAGTTATAAGTGAAACTTTGTGAGTTAAAAACAATATGCTATAGCAGGTATATAGCTCCTACCTACTAGGAATTAATACTCTAACAGGGAAGAAACTCTGTTTTAGCCCTCTTCCTTTATTTTTCTTTTTTTGGCACTAATCTGATGCTCTGTTCAAAAACAAACAAACAAAAAAAACCAAACAAAAAAAAAAAACAGGGGAAAAAAAGACCAAAAAAAGGCACTGAGCCAGCAAGTTCTATATGACTGCTAGCTATGAATTCTTCACAGCTCTCAGAGCTACAGAAGTGTCACAGTAGATTCCATACAGCTCTCCCGAAACCCTGTGTGGCTCCTTTTATAATTTAACACAAGGAAAGCTACCATCTCTGCTATTCAATCTAGTCTCACCCCAAATTCCACTTCCCACCAACCAAAGGTGCAAGTTTTTCTCTACTATATAGGAATTAATCAGCTACAAGTCACATACAGGTACTTATTATAGAGAGGGAGACAGAAATGTGTACCCAACAGTCAAACAGAAACATACACTAAATTTCTGGAGTCCAACCCGGGAAATAACATATATAAAATATTTCATAGTGATTACAGCAGTGATACCTGCATTAGCACATGACTATATTTCAGTTTATGTCTACTCTCACTAAAATTGTTCACTGGATGTACTAAAAGTTTTCTGCCCCATTCATATAATTAATTAATTATATATTATATTTTTTAAGATGCCAGGAAAGACCCTATTCTTCCCTAAAGAGACTTTTTCCCAAGAGGTTTTGGCTTTACCATCTTAAAGTGTGACTCAATAATCTCTGTGGAAGACCTTAACAAGTCATGAAGCATGAAAATAAAAGATTTATGACTTGCTCATGTGAACGTTACCTATTTTAATTGCATTCCATATCTATCAGAATAGTATATACTCTATTTTTTACCAATTAATTCCTATTATTTCCTCCTACATTTTATTTTTTAATTAATTTTTACAAATATAATACTCTTTATCACACTTTTCCTTCCATTTATTTTAATATTTATTATTTTCCACATGTATTTCAGTAACCCAGTTCATAGTTATTGATACCAATTTTTGAAAATCAGCTCCTTCACATCCCAGTCTTCATGCCAATTAAGTAATTCAAATGTGGATGGCAGTTGAACTAAATTATTTTTCAATAAAATAATGAAATCCTAGCTATCATAAACACTTAATTTTTCAGTAATATAAGAGTTTTTCAAATACTTGAAAGAGCTGTGTTTAATGGAAAAATCTAAGTCGAACTGCTTCTAAAATGTTTCCCTGCCTCGCTAAACAGTACACCTTCAAACATAATAAAACAAATTAATATTATCTTGACAATACAAATTTTACTATGAACACCCACTACTGTTGCCCAGTAACATTTCAAGTGTTCATGTTGTGTAGAAATACACTGGCTAAGGGTTCTAAGGACAGCGCTTTGGTATCTCACTGGGACCGAGCTCCGGGGACAAGGGGTGACTGCCATGTCTGGGGTTCAGTCAACTCAGCTGCTCCCACCTGCTGGCTTTGGAGAATACAGGCGGTCCAGAAAAGGTAGGGTCCCCTTCAACACAGCACATGTGCTCTACCAAAAAGCAGCCAGACTGCTTCTTTAGGCAAGTCCCTGATCCCATTCCTTGTGACTTGTTAAGATCTCCCAGCAGGGGTCTCCAGCCACCTCTTATAGGTGCATGCAGGCCAACAACAGGTAAGTACCTACCCCCTGGGACAGAGCTTCCAGAGGAAGGACCTGCCTGCCATCTTTGCTGCTTCATGGCCTTCTCTGCTGATACCTCCAGGTATGGGAGAAACCAAGGCAACTGGGGTCTGGAGAGGACCCCTGGCAAACCACAGCAGCCCTATATACAGTAAAGTGGCCAGATTACTAAAAGAAAAACAAATCAACAGAAAACAACAACAATATCAACAAAAAGACCCCACAAAAACCTCAGTCAAAGGTCAGCAACCTCAAAGAACAAAGGTAGATTAAGGCCAAAAAGATGAGAAAGAATCAACACAAAAATGCTGAAAACTCAAAAAGCCAGAGTGCCTCTTCTCCTCCAAATGACCGCAACACCTCTCCAGCAAAAGCACAGAACTGGTCTGAGGCTGAGATGGCTGAATTGACAGAAATAGTCTTCAGAAGGTGGGTAATAATAAACTTCACTGAGATAAAGGAGCATGTTTTAACCCAATGCAAAGAAGCTAAGAATCACAATAAAACAATACAGGAGCTGACAGCCACAACAGTCAGTTTAGAGAGGAACATAACAGATCTAATGGAGCTGAAAAACACAACATGAGAACTTCACAATGCAATCACAAGTATCAATAGCAGAATAGACCAAGCAGAGGAAAGAACCTCAGAGCTTGAAGACTGTCCAAAATAAGACAGGCAGACAATAATAGAGAAAAAGGAACAAAAAGGAATGAATAAAACCTCCAAGAGATATGGGGTTATGTAAAGAGACCAAACCTATGACTGACTGAGGTACCTGAAAGAGACGAGGAGAATGGAACCAAGTTGGAAAACATACTTCAGGATATCATATAGGAGAACTCCCCCAGATTATCAGGACAGGCCAACATTCAAATTCAGGAAATGCAGAGAACCCCAGTAATACACTCCACAAAAAGATCAACCCCAAGACATATAATCAGATGTGTCTTCACATCAGATTCCCCAAAGCCATCAGATTCCCCAAGGTCCAAATGAAAGAAAAGCTGTTAAGGGCAGCCAGAGATAAAGGCCAGGTCACCTACAAAGGGAAACCCTTCAGACTAATAGCAAACCTCTCAGTAAAAACCCTGCAAGCCAGAAGAGACTGGTGGCCAATATTCAACATTCTTAAAGAAAAGAATTTCCAACTGAGAATTTCATATCTGGACAAACTAAGCTTTATAAGCAAAGGAGAAATAAGATCCTTTTCAGAAAAGCAAATGCTGAGGGAATTTGTTACTACCAGTCCTGCCTTACCAGAGCTCCTGAAGAAAGAACTAAATATGGAAAGAAAAAATTGTTACCAGCCACTACAAAAATACACTGAAGTACACTGACCAGTGACACTATGAAGCAACCACATAAACCAAGCCTGCAAAATAACCAGCTAGCATCGTCATGACAGGATCAAATTCATACATAACAATACTAACATTAAATGTAAATGGGTTAAATGCCCCAATTAAAAGACCAAGAATGGCAAGCTGGATGAAGAGCCAAGACCCATCAGTATGCTGTCCTCAAGAGACCCATCTCACATGCAAAGACACACACAGGCTCTAAATAAAGGGATGGAGGAAATTTTACCAAGCAAATGGAAAACAGAAAAAAGCAGGAGTTGCAACCCTAGATTCTGACAAAAGAGACTTTAAACCAACAAAGATTAAAAAAAGACAAGGGCATTACATAATGGTAAAAGGTTCAATTCAACAAGAAGTGCTATCATAAATATATATACAACCAACATAGGAGCACCAAATTCAAAAAACAAGTGCTTAGAGAACTGCAAAGAGACTGAGACTCCCACACAATAATAGTGAGAGGCTTTAACAGCCCACTAACAATATTAGACAGATCATCAAGACAGAAATTTAACAAAGATATTCTGGACCTGAACTCAGCTCTGTATCAAGTGGACCTGATAGATATCTACAGAACTTCCCACCGAAATTCAACAGAATATACATTCTTCTCATCACCACATGACACTTATTCTGAAATTGATCACATAATCAGAAGTAAAACTTTCCTTGGCAAATGCAAAAGAAATGAAATCATAACAAACAGTCTCTCAGACCACAGCACAATCAAATTAGAACTCAAGATTAAGAAATTCACTCAAAACCACACAACTACATAGAAATTGAACAACCTGCTCCTGAATGACTCTTGGGTAAACAACAAAATTATGGGAGAAATCAAGAATTTATCTGAAACTAATGAGAACAAAGAGACAATGTACCAGAATCTCTGGGATGCAGCTAAAGCAGTGTTAAGAGGGAAATTTATAGCACTAAATGCCCACATCAAAAAGCTAGAAAGATCTCAAGTTAACAATCTGACATCTCAACTAAAATAACTAGAGAGCCAAGAGCGAACAAACTCCAATGCTGGCAGAAGACAAGAAATAACCAAGATCAGAGGTGAATTGAAGAAGACAGAGACACAAAACAACCCTTCAAAAAATTCAATGAATCCAGGAGCTGATTTTTTGAAAATATTAATAAAATAGATAGACCTCTAGCTAGACTAATGAAGAAAAGTGAGAAGAATGAAGTAAACACAATCAGAAATGATAAGGTAGATATCACCACTGACCCCAAAGAAATATAAACAACCTGCCAGGCACGGTGGCTCATGCCTGTAATCCCAGCACTTTGAGAGGCTGAGGTGGGTGGATCACAAGGTCAGGAGTTCTAGACCAGCTGGGCCAGCATGGTGAAACGTCATCTTTACTAAAAACACAAAAAATTAGCCAGGCATGGTGGTGCATGCCTGTAGTCTCAGCTACTCAGGAGGCTGAGGCAGGAGAATTTCTTGAACCCAGTAGGCAGAGGTTGCAGTGAGCTGAGATCACACCACTGCACCCCAGCCTGAGTGACAGAGCCAGATTCCATCTCAAAAAAAAAAAAAAAATATATATATATATATATATACACACACACACACACTTATTATTAAAGTCACAAACTAGTTATAAGAATTGATAGTCTGATAAAAATCCTATTACTTCAGCTTCCTTGAGACAAATTCAGTCATTGAAAATAGTGATCGAAGAGTCGTTTCCAAGATGGCCGAATAGGAACAGCTCTGGTCTACAGCTCCCAGCGAGACTGACACAGAAGATGGGTGATGTCTGCATTTCCAACTGAGGTGACTGGTTCAACTCATTGGGACTGGTTGGACAGTGGGTGCAGCCCACGGAGGGCGAGCCAAAGCAGGGCAGGGTGTCGTTTCACCCGGGAAGCGCAAGGGGTCAGGGGTTTTCCCCTTCCTAGCCAAGGGAAGCCGTGACTGACTGTCCCTGGAGGAATGGTACACTCCTGCCCAAATAATGCACTTTTCCCACAGTCTTCGCAACTGGCAGACCAGGAGATTCCCTTCTGTGCCTGGCTCAGAGGGTCGCATGCCCATGGAGCCTTGCTTGCTGCCAGCACAGGAGTCTGAGATTGACCTGGGTCGCTGGACCTTGGCGGGGAGAGGGGCGTCCACCATTGCTGAGGCTTGAGTAGGAGGTTCTCTGCTCACAGTATAAACAAAGAGGCAGGGAAGCTTGAACTGGGCGGTGGCCACTGGAGCTCAGCAAGGCCTACTGCCTCTCTAGATTCCACCTCTAGGGGCAGGACGTACCTGAACAAAAGGCAGCAGACAGCTTCTCCAGACTTAAACATCCCTGCCTGACAGCTCTGAAGAGAGCAGTGGTTCTCCCAGCACAGTGTTTGAGCTATGAGAACAGACAGACTACCTCCTCAAGTGGGTCCCTGACTCCCGTGTAGCCTGACTGGACACCTCATACAGGCGGGTGCCCCTCTGGGACGAAGCTTCCAGAAGAAGGTACAGGCAGCAATATTTGCTGTTCTGCAGCCTCCGCTGGTGATACCCAGGCAAATGGGGTCTGGAGTGGACCTCCAGCAAACTCCAACAGACCTGCAGCTAAGGGGCCTGTTTGTTAGAAGGAAAACTAACACACAGAAAGGAAGAGCATCAACATCAACAAAAAGGACATCCACACCAAAACCCCATCTATAGGTCACAAACATCAAAGCCAAAGGTAGATAAAACCACAAAGATGGGGAGAAACCAGAGCAGAAAGGCTGAAAATACCAAAAACCAGAACACCTCTTCACCTCCAAAGGAACACAACTCCTGGCCAGCAATGGAACAAAACTGGATGGAGAATGAGTTTGATGAACTGACAGAAGTAGGCTTCAGAAGGTTGGTAATAACAAACTTCTCCAAATTAAAGGAGCATGTTCTAACCCATCACCAGGAAGCTAAAAACCTTGAAAAAAGGTTAAACGAATGGCTAACTAGAATAACCAGTGTAGAGAAGAGCTTAAATGACCTGATGGAGCTGAAAACCACAGTATGAAAACTTCATGAAGCATACATAAGCTCCAATAGCCGATTCGATCAAGTGGAAGAAAGGATGTCAATGACTGAAGATCAAATCAATGAAATAAAGTGAAAAGACAAGATTAGAGAAAAAAAGAATGAAAAGAAACTAACAAAGCCTCCAAGAAATATGGGACTATGTGAAAAGACCAAATATACATTTGATTGGTGTGCCTGAGAGTGACGGGGAGAATGGAACCAAGTTAGAAAACACTCTTCAGGATATTATCCAGGAGAACTTCCCCAACCTAGCAAGGGAGGCCAACATTCAAATTCAGGAAATACAGAGAACACCACAAAGATACTCCTCGAGAAGAGCAACCCCAAGACATATAAAATGTCAGATTCACCAAGGTTGAAATGAAGGAAAAAATGTTAAGGGCAGCCAGAGAGAAAGGTCGGGTTACCCACAAAGGGAAGCCCATCAGACTATCAGCAGATCTCTCTGCAGAAACCCTACAAACCAGAAGAGAATGGGGGCCAATATTCAGTATTCTTAAAGAAAAGAATTTTCAACCCAGAATTTCATATCCAGCCAAACTAAGCTTCATAAGTGAAAGAGAAATAAAATCCTTTCCAGACAAGCAAATGCTGAGAGACTTTGTCACCACCAGGCCTGACTTGCAAGAGCTCCTGAAGGAAGCACTAAACATGGAAAGTAACAACCGGTACCAGCCACTGCAAAAACAAGCCAAACTGTAAAGACCATCGACGCTATGAAGAAACTGCATCAATAAATGGGCAAAATAACCAGCTAGCATCATAATGACAGCATCAAATTCACACATAACAATACAAACCTTAAATGTAAATGGGCTAAATGACCCAATTAAAAGACACAGACTGGCAAATTGGATAGAGTCAAGACCCATCAGTGTGCTGTATTCAGGAGACCCATCTCACGTGCAAAGACACACATAGGCTCAACATAAAGGGATAGAGGAAGATCTACCAAGCAAATGGAAAGCAAAAAAAAAAAAGCAGGGGTTGCAATCCTGGTCTCTGATAAAACAGACGTTAGACCAAAGAAGATCAAAACAGACAAGGAAGGACATTACATAATGGTAAAAGGATCAATGCAACAAGAAGAGCTAAATGACCTAAATATGTATGCACCCAATACAGGAGAACCCAGAATCATAAAGCAAGTCCTTAGAGATCTACAAAGAGACTTAGACTCCCACACAATAATGGGAGACTTTAACACCTAACTGTCAATATTAGACAGATCAGTGAGACAGAAGGTTAACAAGGTTATCCAGGACTTGAACTCAGCTCTGGACAAAGCAGACCTAATAGACATCTACAGAACTCTCCACCCCAAATCAACAGAATATAGATTCTTCTCAGCACCACATCGCACTTATTCTAAAACTGACCATATAATTGGAAGTAAAACACTCCTCAGGAAATGTAAAAGAAAAGAAATCACAACAAACTGTCTCTCAGAGCACAGTGCAATCAAATTAGAACTCAGGATTAAGAAACTCACTCAAAACTGCTCAACTAAATGGAAACTGAACAACGCGCTCCTGAATGACTACAGGGTAAATAACGAAAGTAAGTCAGAAATAAAAATGTTATCTGAAACCAATGAGAACAAAGACACAACGTACCAGAATCTCTGGGACACATTTAAAGCAATGTGTAGAAGGAAATTTTTAGCACTAAACGCCCACAAGAGAAAGCAGGAGAGATCTAAAATCAACACCCTAACATCACAATTGAAAGAACTAGAGAAGCAAGAGCAAACAAATTCAAAAGCTAGCAGAATACAAGAAATAACTAAGATCAGAGCAGAATTGAAGGAGACAGGAACATGAAAAACCCTTCAAACAAATCAATAAATCCAGGAACTAGTTTTTTGAAAAGATCAACAAAATAGATACACAGCTAGCAAGACTAATAAAGATGAAAAGAGAGAAGAATAAAATACATGCAATAAAATTATAAAGGGGATATCACCACTAATCCTACAGAAATACAAACTACCATCAGAGAATACTATAAACATCTCTATGCAAATAAACTAGAAAATCCAGAAGAAATGGATAAATTCCTAGACACATACACCATCCCAAGACTAAACCAGGAAGCAGTTGAATCTCTGAATATATCAATAAGAGGTTCTGAAATTGAGGCAATAATTAATAGCCTACCAACTAAAAAAAGTCCAGGACCAGTGGATTCACAGCCAAATTCTACCAGAGGTACAAAGAGGAGCTGGTACCATTCCTTCTGAAACTATTCCAATCAATAGAAAAAGAGGGAATCCTCTCTAACTTATTTTATGAGGCCAACATCATCCTGATACCAAAGCCTGGCAGAGACACAACAAAAAAAGAGAATTTTAGACCAATATCCCTGATGAAAATCAATGCAAAAATACTCAATAAAATACCGGCAAACCAAATCCAGCAGCACATAAAAAGCTTATCCACCACGATCAAGTCGGCTTCATCCCTGGGATGCAAGGCTGGTTCAACATACACAATCAATAAATGTAATCCATCAAATAAACAGAACCAACAGCAAAAACCACAATTATCTCAATAGATGCAAAAAAGGCCTTTGACAAAATTCAACAGCCTTTCATGCTAAAAACTCTCAGTAAACTAGGAATTGATGGAATGCATCTCAAAGTAATAAGAGCTATTTATGACAAACCCACAGCCAATATCATACTGAATAGGGAAAAAAACGGGAAGCATTCTCTTTGAAAACTGGCACAAGATAAGGATGTCCTCTCTCACCACTCCTATTCAACATAGTATTGGAAATTCTGGCCAGGGCAATCAGGCAAGAGAAAGCAATAAAGTGTATTCAAATAGGAAGAGAGGAAGTCAAATTGTCCCTGTTTGCAGATGGCATGATTGTGTATTTAGAACACCCCATTGTCTCAGCGCAAAATCTCCTTAAGCTGATAAGCAACTTCAGCAAAGTCTCAGGATACAAAATCAATGTGCAAAAATCACAAGCATTCCTATACACCAATAAGAGACAAACAGAGAGACAAATCATGAGTGAACTTAAATTCACAATTACTATTAAGAGAATAAAATACCTAGGAATACAACTTACAAGGGATGTGAAGAACCCCTTCAAGGAGAACTACAAACCGCTGCTTTAAGGAAATAAGACAGGACACGAACAAATGGAAAAACATTCCATGCTTATGGATAGGAAGAAGCAATATCATAAAAATGGCCTTACTGCCCAAAGTCATTTATAGATTCAATGCTATCTCCATCAAGCTACCATTCACTTTTTTCACAGAAATGGAAAAAACTAATTTAATCTTCATATGGAACCAAAAAAGAGCCCGCATAGCCATGACAATCCTGGGCAAGAAGAACAAAGCTGGAGGCATCATGCTACCAGACTTCAAACTATACTACAAGGCTACAGTAACCAAAACAGAATGGTACTGGTACCAAAACGATATATAGAACAATGGAACAGAACAGAGCCCTCAGAAGTAACACCACACATCTACCACCATCTGCTCTTTGACAAATCCGACACACATAAGCAATAGGGAAAAGATTCCTTTTTAAATAAATGGTTTTGGGAAAACTGGCTAGCCATATGCAGAAAACTGAAACTGGACCCCTTCCTTATACTTTATACAAAAATCAACTCAAGACGGATGAAAGACTTAAACGTAAGACCTAGGACCATAAAAATCCTGCAAGAAAACCTGGGCAATACCATTCAGGACATAGGCATGGGCAAAGACTTCATGTCTAAAACACCAAAAGCAATGGCAACAAAAGACAAAATTGACAAATGGGATCTAATTAAACTAAAGAGCTTCTGTACAGCAAAAGAAACTATCATCAGAGTGAACAGGCAGCCTACAGAATGGGAGAAAATTTCTGCAATCTATCCATCTGACAAAGGGTTAATATCCAGAATCTACAAAGAACTTAAACAAATTTACAAGAAAAAAACAAACAACCCCATCAAAAAATGGGCAAAGGATATGAACAGACACTTCTCAAAAGAAGACATTTATGCACCCAACAGACACATGAAAAAATGCTCATCATCACTGGTCATTAGAGAAATGCAAATCAAAACCACAATAAGATACTGTCTCACACCATTTAGAATGGCGATCATTAAAAAGTCAGGAAACAACAGATGCTGGAGAGGTTGTGGAGAAAGAGGAACACTTTTACACTGTTGGTGGGAGTGTAAATTAGTTCAACCATTGTGGAAGACAGTGTGGCGATTCCTCAAGGATCTAGAACTAGAAATACCATTTGACCCAGTGATCCCATTACTGGGTATATACCCAAAGGATTATAAATCACGCTACTATAAAGACACACGCACACGTATGTTTACTGCAGCACTGTTCACAATAGCAAAGACTTGGAACCAACCCAAATGTCCATCAATGATAGACTGGATTAAGGAAATGTGGCACATATACACCATGAAATACTATGCAGCCATAAAAAATGGTGAGTTCATGTCCTTTGCAGGGACATGGATGAAGTGGGAAACCATCATTCTCAGCAAACTATCACAAGGACAGAAAACCAAACACTGCATGTTCTCACTCACAAGTGAGAGTTGAACAATGAGAAACACATGGACACAAGGAGGGGAACATCACGCACCAGGGCCTGCTGAGGGTGGGGGGCTAGAGGAGGGATAACATTAGGAGAAATACCTAATGTAGCTGACGGTTTCATGGGTGCCACAAACCACCATGGCACGTGTATACCTATGTAACAAACCCACACATTCTGCACATGTAACCCAGAACTTAAAGTATAATTTTAAAAAAAGGCCGGGCGCGGTAGCTCACACCTGTAATCCTAGCACTTTGGGAGGCCGAGGCAGGCAGATCACGAGGTCAGGAGATCGAGACCATCCTGGCTAACACAGTGAAACCCCGTCTCTACTAAAAGTACAAAAAATTAGCCTGGCATGATGGTGGACACCTGTAGTCCCAGCTACTCGGGAGGCTGAGGCAGGAAAATGGTGTGAACCTGGGAGGTGGAGCTTGCAGTGAGCTGAGATCGCGCCACTGAACTCGAGCCTGGGCAACAGAGTAAGACTCCATCTCAAAAAAAAAAAAAAAAAAAAAAGAATCAGTCAAATAAGAAATAAACAAATTTCCCAGCAAATAAAAAGAAAATACTGGTCATTCAGGTTACCATTTTATAGGTTTGGTAATTTTTAAAGTTAATTTCTAGAATATACTATCTAAAATGCAAGGAGAAGTGTGTTTTCATGTTTTCATTGTTGACAGGAAGATACCAAAAAGATCATTCAAACCCACCTAATAACACACACGTATACTCAACATGAAAAAACTGTAGACTTACACTACCTGTTTTAAAAGTTTTCAGAGTAGTAAAAAAACAAATCTCATAGTACAGATTGAGTATCCCTTATCCAAAATGCTTGGGACCAGAAGCGTTTCAAATTTCAAAGTGTTTTAGATTTTGGAATATCTGTATATACAAAATGAGTTATCTTGGCAATGACACCCAAGTCTCAACATGAATTTGTTTCATTGAACCATCAGAAAGTAAAGGGATCACTATCTCAGCCACCCGTGTAGACACAATCTGTGGTTGTTTGACATCACCATTATTCCTGACCAAATTTACATGTTACCAATAAGCAACCATTTTCTTACACTTACACCTAACTACTTAATGGTTAAAAAAAAAAAAGGGGCATACCATTAATACAGTGAAAAAAATCACATGTTCAGGGTAGCTACAGCAGCACAGAGGCATCACCAGAATATCTGTGCCAGCTGTTAAACAGAAGCAACAAACAGCAGGCTTTCTGTTTCCATCTGGAATGCTTTGTTTTGATTAAAAGGTACTGTAGGCCAGGCTCAGTGGCTCACGCCTATAATCCCAGCACTTTGGGAGGCCGAGGTGGGCAGATCACTTGGGGTCAGGATATCGAGACCAGCCTGGCCAACATGGTGAAACCTCATTCCTACTAAAAATACAAAAATTAGCCAGGTGTGGTGGTAGGCGCCTGTAATCCTAACTACTTGAGAGGCTAAGGCAGAACTGCTTGAACCTGAGAGGCAAAGGTTGTAGTGGGCCGAGATCCCACCACTGCACTCCAGCCTGGGTGACAGAGCAAGATTTTATCTCAAACAAACAAACAAAAAAAAAGTACTGCACACTTTTTATTTTTTGTGAGACAGAGTCTCACTCTGTTGCTCAGGCTGGAGTGCAGTGGCACTGTGATCTTGGTTCACTGCAACCTCCACTTCCCAGGTTCAAGCAATTCTCCTGCCTCAGCCTCCCAAGTAGCTGGGATTACAGGCACGCACTACCATGCCCAGCTAATTTTTGTATTTTTAGTAGAGACGGGGTTTCACCATATTGGCCAGACTGGTCTGAAACTCCTGACCTCAGGTGATCCACTCACCTCGGCCTCCCAAAGTGCTGGGATTACAGGTGTGAGCCACTATGCCCGGCCTGTACATTATTTTATGTTTTAAGGTGAGAAGAAGCAGTTGAGAGGACAGCAAGTGGGTCTTCTAGGAATGAGGAGTCATTCTGCTGGATGGATTTTTAAATGTTTCCTCCAGGGTTATCTGCCTCATTAACAATGGTGTTTGCCTTAGAAATCTCTCTTTGATTTTATAAACTAACATGATTTCTTGTTCTGTTGTGAATGCCATATTTTCACCATGTCATCTATAGGCACTTCTTCTTCAGTTTTAATGTTATCTTCATCATCACTATTATCACCATCACCTACACTCAGAACCATTTTGGCTACTTCATCATCAATGAATGAGCAATTGGAGCCTTATAACCAGTGTTACAGACCTTTTCAATATCCACTTCTTTCAGTTCACTAACAAACTCTGAAGGTATATTTTTTTGCATATGTAAGGCAGTCAAACATCATTTCTTTCACTTGACATACAGAATCCTTCAAAGTCACACATTTGCTCGTCACCATCACTGAACATAGTTGCAGGCCAGAGGTTGTGCCAGGCATGCACAATTGTGTCTTTACTCACTGTGTTCCAAGCACTGGCAACAGCATACACAACATCCTTCATATTAAACTCCCTTTGAAAACCTTCCACAATTACAATTCTGTTCACTGATGCTAGCAGTCTATGCAACAAAGTGTTATATTTATTCTTCACTGATCTAATGTGACTGATTAATTCAGTCACATGGCTGAATTAATGAAGTCACATTTGAGGGAAAATACATGGCAAACACATTATTTTTGATGAGAATTTCAGCTGGATGATGAGCAGAGCAGTTGTTAGGGAATAACAAAGTCTTGCAGTCACCATGCAGTAAACACAAGCCACTGGTATAAAATATTTTCCCTGGTGATCCATGCCTTTTTGCTAGCATAATAATGGACTGGTAAGAAATTCACTCCTTGAAGAGATTGAGAACACAGGCTTTTGCCTATCATGGCAAATTTACACTTACACTTGCCTGTTGCACTAGGACATCCCTGCACATTTATTCTGTCCTTGGTAGCCTACCACAGGGGCTGTCTCATCAGCTGTAGTCAGTGTCTTTCTGAGGCAACAACAACAAAATAGTGATATTTTAACAGCAATATAGACTTGTTCTAGCATCAGATTTTCATCAGCAATGACCTTGGCAAATTCCTCACTGAATTTCACCACTGTTTTGTGATCAGCAGATGCTCTATTGCCACAAATCTTTAAAAAATGAATATCATGTCTCTTCTTAAATTTCTGCAACCAGCCTGTTGAAAAGTCAGAGTTCCCTTCAATTTTCACTTCATTATGATAGATCTTTGCTTGTTTATGATCGGCATACCATTAAGTGGCAAGTGTTCACTGTTAGGCTGACAAATCCACTCTTTAAATACACAATTGAGATCTTCAGTTTTAGCTTTATGCAGTGTTATTCTATTTTTCATTAACTTCTTTTCATCAGTTTTGGCACAGAACGTCAACAGTTTATTCTTTTGTTTCTTCAAGTTATATAGTGTGGTCATTCCAACACCATACTCTTCTGTAGGACATTTCACATTTATATTGCTGTCCAGTTTCTCCAACAGCTTGACTTTCTGTGCTACGGATAAAGACAAATGCTCCCTCTTTTCCCTGTCACTGTTACCCACAGGGGTATCTGCAGGCCTTTTTGACATTCCCAACAATACCTCTGCACCACAGAGCAGAAAATAAGCAAAAGAAAAGAAAAGACATGAGTAATGCACAAATGCACATCGGCCTTGGCCCCACGTGGGGCACAGTGGGGAACCTGCTCTTGGCATATGCGTCCTGCACATGTCATTTATTACCCTTGTGGGCATGCTTGCATGATGGAATCTTGGTGTGTTGAAGAAAAAATATATATGCAGCAGAAGGGGGCTGGGAGGGTCTTTTTTCCTTTGGGGATGCTGAAACAACTGTATGTTGTATGCTTGTGTTCTGAGTGCCCCCTGGTCATATGAGATCAGGTATGGGATTTACCACTTATGGCTTCATGTCAGTACTCGAAAAGTTTCAGACTCTGGGGTACTCTGAATTATGGATGCTCAACCTGTATACTTTTCTAAAGATGCATATAAAGAATCCACTTTAAGTCAATAATCTATGGATAAAAGTCTGTATTTTGTGCTTGTATGTGCATTAAATGTGTATGTTAAATAAATCATGCAAAGCTAGCACTAAAAATTTAATCATATAAGACTAGCAATAAAACCATATTAAAATGAAATCGTTAAAACATACTAAATTTGTATTTGCTACTTTGTTCACATTCACTGCCTTAGTAAATGAGAAGCCTAGCAGTTACACTGTCTTATAGACATCCATTTAAAATAAGAAAACATCAGTTACAAGTTTTGTGCCCTCGGGCAGTTATTTAACGTCTAAAGAAATGCAGTGTTGTAGTTACAAGCAGGCTCAAGTGCTTGTCTCAGCAGCACGTATACTAATATTGGAACCATACAGAGAAGACTGGATGGCCCCTGCACAAGCAGGCTTGAAATTTACAGACTGCATGGAGAAAGCTACTTAGCTCCTATATGCTTCTGTTTCCTCACCTGTAGAAAGGGGTATCTCCACCTCACAGAGTTAAGTATAATACCCATAAGGCACATCAAACAGTGCCTAGCACATTATAAAAACCTAATAAATGTCAAATGTTTTAATATTAAGGCTGTTTCCACACTAAATAAAGAGAAATAGCTATCTCAAGAGGCTGTTACAGGAAATGAGAAACATAAAGAACATGGTTCAGATACATGAAACACAAAGCACTCAATAAGTAGTAATTATTATCACTAAAAAACAGAATTAATGATAATGAGGTTGATGAAGAGTATGATGGCAACACTATCAGACATTAGGTGGCCCAATCCACAACAGTGGCAGTTATCCTTGAGTCCTTCCTCTTTCTCATCTTCCCAATTACCAAGTTCTATAAATTCTATTATCCTCAAAAGCTTAAAAGCTATTCCATTTTCTCCATCTTCACTGCCACTTGCCTTACATAATTCTTCATGCATGCTTCCCCAAACCAAAATGCCACAGCCTCCTCTCAGTTGTCCTGACTCTAGTACCGCCCCATTTCAACCCATTTTTCACACTCCAAGCTGAGTTTGGTTGTTTCTTTTTGTTTTCTTAACTGAAATTTGATCATGTCATTTCCCTCTTTAACATCTGCAATCATCTCCACAGACTTCAGAATAATTTTCAAAGTACTATTTGTGGATGCAAAGTCTTTCAGAATTTGGCCACTTTCTCCCTTCCCCACATCATCTTTTTCTACTTGCTTACTTTTCCATCTAAGCTAAGCTCCACAACTCTGATCTACTTGTGGTTTCCCAAAGCATGCTCTGTCAC